>NC_000003.12:167190422-167341937 GCF_000001405.40 Homo sapiens
CAGGCTGGAGTGCAGTGGCGCAATCTCGGCTCACTGCAAGCTCCGCCTCCCGGGTTCATGCCATTCTCCCGCCTCATTCTCCCGACTAGCTGGGACTACAGGTCCCTGCCACCACGCCCGGCTAATTTTTTGTATTTTTAGTAGAGTCAGGGTTTCACTGTGTTAGCCAGGATGGTCTCGATCTCCCGACCTCGTGATCTGCCCACCTCGGCCTCCCAAAGTGCTGGGATTACAGGCGTGAGCCACCGCGTCCGGCCCATGTTTTTATCACTAGAGATTTTGTGTGGTCATGAGATTATCAACTTGGTCAGCTGTTATCACTCCTCTGATGCAGGACCATTCACTGAAATTCACACCAAAATGAGTTGAGGTGGGGGCACAGAGTGCTGACAAGAGGATGCCAGTGAGCTGAACAGACTTTGAGGTGAACTTAGGAATATCTTGGCGCAAAAAGACTACCAGGGCTCCTAAGCCAGGTACAGGAATTAGGGTCTATGCTTATCTTCACTAAGGCATGGCTCAGTCCTGGCCTGAAAGCTTTAGGACAGCTCCCAGCATTGTCCTGGAGGCAGTGAACACCAAGGGGAATATAGACCCTGCTGGTTCCATCCTGAAAGGGCAAGAGACTTGCAGAGACCTACCAACCTTTCTCTGTTTCAACCAAGTTACTAAAGTAGAAACCTCATTCTAGAGATCTAGGAGCATCCACTGTAAAAGTAAGAATTGGGGAAATCCCAAACAGGTTTTGTCACATCCAGTCTCTAAAGAATCAAGAGAAACAATCTGTCTCTGCTGACCAGGGCACAGGCAATGTGTGTGGCTAACTGTGGAGGCAACAGCAAATTTATAAATTAAGAGCCTCCATGAGCTTTGCCATTCTGGATGGAATCATCTTTCTCCATTGCCACATTTCTGGATCTTCCACCATCTCAGGAATTGATATTCTTTTCTCTGATACGGTTTGGCTGTGTCCCCACCCAAATCTCATCTTGAATTGTAACTCCCACAATTCCCACATGTTGTGGGAGGAACCCAGTGGGAGGTGATTAAATTATGAGAATGTTTGTTTCTGGTTCTGTTCTCCTGTTCTCCTGAGAGTGAATGAATCTCACGAGATCTGATGGTTTTAAAAATGGGAGTTTCTCTGCACAAGCTCTGTCTTTGCCTGCCCCCATCCACGTAAGATGTGACTTGCTCTTCCTTGGCTTCCACCATGAGTGTGAAGCCTCCCCAGCCACGTGGAACTGTGAGTCCAATTAAACCTCTTTCTTCTGCCCAGTCTCTGGTATGTCTTTATCAGCAGTGTGAAAACAGACTAATACAGAAGTATTAGTAGGGGATCTTGTGATCTTGTTGTGAAGGCCCTCATTTTTCTCTCCTCAAGAGTGATTTTCTCTAGTAGTACGCTTTACTTGTTCCTTTTCATTTTAGTGAATGTTTTTGCAATGTGGTTATCATGAAGCTTACAAAAATCATATATATATATATATATATATATATATATATATATATAGAGCAAGTTATTTTAATCAAATGTCAGCTTATCTTAGATAACAAAAAAAACCTCTTCATTTTATCTCAATCTCCCCATAGTTAGGTTTTATCTTTTATCAACTTACATATTTTTATATTGCTTGTCTCTTGACAGGTTACTGTAGGTATTATTGTTTTTGATAGTTTTATATTTTGGGCTTCATACTTTTAGTTATGAGTGGATTGCACATATTTATAGTACTAGAATGTTCTGAGTTTGTCTGTGTAACTTAATTTTCCCAGTGGGTTTTATACTTTCAAATGTTTTATTTTCACATTGTTTATTTGTTTTCACATTGTTATTTACTTCTTTCAGATTGAAGAGTCGCCTTTAGCATTTCTTGTAAGATATCTGGTGGTAGTAAATTCTCTCAACTTTTGTTTGTCTAGGAAAGACTTTATTTCTCTTTTTCATGTTTCAGTGAGACCTTTGCTGGGTATAGTATTCTTGAATAAAAAGGATTTTCCTCTTTCAGGACTTTGAAAACATCATTCTAATCCCTCCTGGCCTGTATAGTTTCTGTTGAAAAGTCTGTATGAATTTGAGCTTCTTTATATGTTATTTGCTTGTTTGCTCTTGTTGCTTTCAGGATGTTCTCTTTAATCGTATCCCTTTCTCTTGCTCAGCTCCTTTTTGAACACCAATAATTCTTAGATTTGCATTTTTGAGGTCATTTTCTCTATCTTATAGGTAATATTCACTCCTTTTCATTCTTTTTTCCCTGACTATGCATTTTCAAATAGCCTGTTTTCAAGCTCACTGATTCTTTTCTCTGCCTGATCTTTTCTGCTGTTAAGAGCCTCTATCAAATTTTTTAGTTCAGCAAATGTATTTCTCAGCTTTAAGATTTTTCTTTGATTTTTAAAATTATTTTAATCTCTTCATTACATTTCTTTGGAAAATGTTTGAATTACTTTTCTGTGTTATCTCAGAGATCACAGAGTTTACTTTAAACTGCTATTTTAGATTCTTGGTCAGATAATTCACATGTCACCATTTTTTCAGAGTCACTCACTGGTTCCTTGCTCTGACCCTTTGAGGAGGTCATGGTTTCCTGCTTGCTGTTCGTTTTTGTGGGTGTACACCTATGTCTTTGCATTGAAGTATTTATTATTTATTCCAGTCTTCTCTGCCTGGCTTGTTTTGGCTTTTGTTGTCTAGGTTGGCTCAGAGATTCTCTGTAATTTACCTGTTGGTTGTCTTTCTTTTTTCCCCACTAGGTTATTGCCTACATTTTGGAATTAAATGGCACCTTAAACCCAGATTTGCCTCAGTTCTAGTAAACAATCAAAGTATCACATGTCCTGAATGGGGGTGGTTCCAAAGGGGCTAACCTGGTAGTGTGGGAAGGCTGTGTGGTAGTTTGTGCCCAGGAAATCTGTGAAAACAAACCTTTCACCACATTCTGTTGCTGAACAGCCATTCTGATTTTTCTTCTTTTTGACAGAGTTACAGAGCAGAGATTTCAGGGTTAGAGATGTTCATCCTGCCTCCCCTCTTTGTCTCTGGCTATCCTCAGTGGTATTTGTCCATCTATGTACTCTTATGCTTCTATTGAGATTGAGACAGGAACAATTGTAGTTCCCTACAATCTTGGGTTCCCTGGCAATGCATGTTTGTTTTTGGTTTTCTGTGGTGAGTAATATAGTCAGCTTGCTTCTCCACCACCATTTTGGTGGTTCTCCCATGTTCTCCCATGGGAGAATTCCAAAGTTGTCTCATGTTTATTGCAGCACTATTCACAATAGCCAAAATATGGAATTAACCTAAGTGTTCATCAACAAATGAATGGATAAAGAAAATGTGACCTATATAATCAGTGGAAAACTATTCAGCCATTAAAATGAATAAAATCTGGTCATTTGCAGCAACATGGGTGAAACTGCTGGTTATTATGTTAAATGAAATAAGCCAGACACAGAAACACAAATATTGCATTTTCTCACTCATATGTGAGAGCTAAAATGGTTGGTCTCATGGAAGTAGAGAATAGATTAATGGTTGCCAGAAGTTAGAAAGGTTGGGGGAAGTTGAAGAGAGGTTGGGAATGGGTACAAACATAAAGTTAGATAGAATAAGTTTTAGTGTTCAATAACTGGTAGGGTGACTAGATTTTGTAATAATTTACTGTATATTTCAAAATAGCTAGATGAGAAGATTCAAAATGTTCACAACACAAAGAAATGGTGAATGTTTGAGGTAATGGCTATCCCAAATACCCTGATTAATTATTACTATGTTTCAAAATATCACATGTACTAAATATGTACTAAATATATATATATATATATATATGTATATTCATTTTTAAAACTGATTCATAGAGCACAGAACTGTAAAAGCTCAGTTTACTTGCATCTCCCCTTGGAATTCAGTCCTCCACACTAGACATGGCCTATGCAAGGTTAGAAGGGAAGATATGCATTATCTAGCATCCTGTCTATGACTGGGTGAATGAATGAATTCATGGCAGAGGAAGCAGGATGTATTTCAATTTCAAGTCCAAGGTTAACTCCCCAAACTATTTCACAGAATGAAAGTAGTGTTTTGATCTTGGACTCCTGTGCGTATTTCAGAATTTGGAAGTGAGAAGTATGTAAAACTGAGCAAATATAAAAAATATGGCAATGATCAGCCAGAGAGCTGTCAATGACAAAATTCTGGGGGCTAAAGCAGAAGATAAACAATGACATTTTCATTAGACTTGTTTGGTTTCCACTGTCACCACTAGTCCTCATTTTCCTCAAATGGACATTTTTGACTATCCCAACTGCTGGCTTGGGCTCCTCAGAGCCACCAGGACTTATCCTTACCTTAGGTAGAAAGAATTTAAGGAACTGTAGTTTGACCTACAAGACTAGAGGCTGGTTCACCAAGAAGCTAATGAAGCTCAAGCTTCAGGCCTTTCCCTTGTATAGGAACTTCCCAAGGCTCAGTGTATTCTCTTTCAGGAGCACCAGGAGGAAGCAATGACCCTTGACAAGGACCAGAAGCACTGAGTGCTCCTGCCTTCCTGAAAATTACCCTTTAAGGTTTCAGGCCACGAGAAACGTCAGCAAGCTTCCAGCACTATCTTCTACACAGTCTCCAGAAACAACCGGTGCCATCATATCTCTCTTAGCAACCAGATTCCATGTTTTACCCCAAGGAGAAAAATTTGTGTTAGATGCAACTTCCTTCCTAAAGAATGGTCCAAGGTGGGGAGAAGGTAGTCTTGGGAGGATAATCAGTGACAGCAAAGACCTGGCTGGGATGGAGCAAATGTAGCATCAAAGGTCTTCCCAAGGAACACTAAAGGCCTACAATTCTCTGATGGTTTTTTTCTCAGAGTTAATTTATCACTAACTCAGCTTAACCATTCAAATTTACTCTGGCAATAAGAAATTAGTGTAACTTTTGAGTAATTATAAACAGGAAGGCTTTCTTATTATAGAATAAAATAATATAAAGTATCCCAAAAATCAACATGAAATATACTTTAAAACCTAGAAACAAAACATATGCCAAACTAACCCTTTTCCAAACAATCTTTTACATATAAATTCAAGATGTGTAGCTGTGTTGAACTTACATTTAATCAGCATCAGTCTTTATCAGACTGAAATTAAACGAAACCATTTTTCTTCCTGGTAGGCACAGTAATTCTTATATTGCAGAGTCACACCATCTGCTCTAACTTTAACATTTTGGGGATTTCTTTGAGAACAAACATATTTATAAAATCATTGTATATGCTGTTAAAATTGAAGCCAACGGTAGCCTTTAAATGCATCAAATCTGACGTTTATAACGGCCTAAAGAAAGCCCCAAGCCATCTCTACCTGCCAGAATCTATAGCAGTGTTTCCTAGCATAAACTAATCAAAAACTGTCACAAGAGTTTACACCGTCTGGCATCACAGAAACCCAAGTCTTCACTTAATGTTGAAGTTCAAGAGTTTTATCTTCTCTGTGTTAAATCACTTTGGGATTTCACAGTGAATTCAAAGTAAAACAACATATACACACAGCAATATTTGGGGTATATCTGAAATCAGTGAAGCCATTCCCAGGTATCTTCTCATCCCATTAATTGTTAAAATCATTATGGCCACTATACATTCTTCTGCATGACATATATCACATAGCGATATCACTGAATACTCTAATGATGAGTTTTGCCTCCCCACAACCCATTTCTTTAGCTATTACAAAGGCCCCTTTGATACTGATGTATCAGTGTCTGTGGTATGATCAAGAGAACAGCCCTTTAGAACCAACTGAGGACTAGTTCACAAAGAGTCTTGAGAAGAATCTATATGCTATCATGTGAAACCAATTCTATTTCATCAAGATTCAAACATCACACTGGTTGTGAAAGAAATAAATGCAATTAATGGAGCAAGAGGAAAATTTAAAATAAGTCTAATCACCTTACAAAAAGTTTTTTACTACTTAAATAGTAAAACATACCAATCATTTTATTGGCATTAGAAAAGCTGCTTAGACATGAGTCCATCCCGGCTATATTTAAAATCATCTATAAAACATTCAATAAAATCAATGTGTGGGATTTATATCCCATATGATTCTTATTTAAGCAGATGATTCTTAAGTAAATACATAACTTAAGTGGACCTTTTTCTGTAGCCCAGACTTATCAACTGTTAATAATTACTAAGGTAGCAACATTGTGGATGGTAAAATGACTCTCGTTTATTCAGTAATACTTCAATTTTAGCATCATTCATTTGCTAATACTATTGACAATAGAAGCTTCTAGGGTATTAGGATTTCAGGCATTTGCTAAAATATTTTAATCACTGGCTTAATAAAGGACAAACTTATTTAAAACTTATTTAAAGCATAAAGAAGTTGTGTTTGGGTACCTGAGTTTAAAAAAAAATGTATCCTTTTCCTATGCTAACACATAGATATTATCGAATTCATTCAACAAAAAGAATCCCTGGTGAAATAGTACCAAAATGAGAGTAGCTACTCCAAGCATCCTAAAGGTTATACGATTTCTACCATAATTTCTTTCTTCAAGGACAATGACAGCAAAGGGAGAAAATGCCAAAACATCAAGCAAATATTGACATACGGTATATGAGCAGAAACTGCTGATATATGGAAATGATTGCAATGCACTATTTCTTACCAGTGATGCCTTCCATTTGGTGACAAAGAGGCATTCAACCAAAAGCTGTCTTGGGAGGCACCAGTTGCAAACCACTCAAAAAATGCTAATATCCACAGAATAGAATTATACAAAAATCTACTAGAGCTCTTCTCATTAAGGAGTTAAGAATTTAAAATGTAGGCTGGGCACGGTGGCTCACGCCTGCAATCCCAGCACTTTGGGAGGCTGAGGCGGGCAGATCACGAGGTCAGAAGATCGAGACCATCCTGGCTAACACGGTGAAACCCCATCTCTACTAAAAATACAAAAAATTAGCCGGGTGTGGTGGTGGGCGCCTGTAGTCCCAGCTACTCAGGAGGCTGAGTCAGGAGAATGGTGTGAACCCAGGAGGTGGAGCTTGCAGTGAGCCGAGATTGCACCACCACATTCCAGTCTGGGCAACAGAGTGAGACTCCTTCTCAAAAAAAATAAAAAATAAAAATAAGAATTTAAAATGTAACTTGTCACTTCAGTATATTAAATTACATAGTTAGCTCCATGAAAATCTAGATTGACAGATGTCTTTGAGAGCATATACAATAAGAAAAATTCCAAAAAATACTGTGCTATTGACATGCTGTCAGAATGAGTCATATTCCGAAAGTTGATTATTTTATTTAAAAAATTAAGTTGTTATTAAAGATAATAGTCATCAAATCTTGCTATTCTTGCTATGCTATATAGAAAAGTATATTACTTTCTAATGTTGTTTGCACAAAAATTGTATGAAATAATATTGACATATAAGAACTACAGTATGTGTCCAGATATTTGATCCAACAAGTTATACAGTCCCTATCTTATCATAGGAAATAGATAAGAAGCCTTGGTCTGAGCTGTAAGTACCATATAAGTACCAATGTGCTTACAGGCTATTTTACAAAAATCTATTGATCAACAATGAAGAAATTATTTCCAGGATTCATTCCTTAACAAAAATCAGTTCATTTGTAGGATCTCTTTTAGAAGATTGACATTGATTTTTTAAATTATCATTTGAGAATTAGCAAGTACCCAAAATAGATGAAACCATAATAACCTTTCTCCAAGCATCTCGGTTACTTGAAGAGGTATGTTCTGATAGTGTTATATCTAGTGTGACAGAAACAGCTTCTCAGAATCATACCTATGCTTTCCTTTTTGGTTTACAATATTTTTATAAGCTTAAGTGAATTTGAGTAGAGTTGTTATAAGGGCTTTATTAAACTTAAGGAGCCCTCCTTTTCCTTGACTGTTTTATTGTCACAGACACATGGATATCCTAATATGATAATGTAAAAATATTATTTGTAAAATTCTTGAAACATAGTATGGCAGAGACAAGAAAATCAACAGTACTTTCACCTGTTAAATTTCTGGATGGTACATTTCTTTTAAAAGTCAATTAAAAATATATTAATATAGATCCTGTGGCTATTTCAAACAGAAAAATGAATTAAGTTTAAGCCATATAATAGTGATTGTGAAAGAGTCTTGTCTAAATGTTCCCATTTAAAATTGTGACAAATTTCCAGTCAAATAAAAGAGAAGAAAATACTTATCAGATATGAATGGAAACACAAAGCTTTAAAACCACTGAGTAAATACATAGCTGTTTTTTGAGTTAGGCATTTTGAACAACTCATTACAAGTAAAGCCACTGGATTTGTTAATAACAAACGCACCTTCAAAAGTGCTTTGTAACTATCAGGTATCCAAGGATTATCTTTGTCACACAGGATTCAGAAGTTTGGGTAGGTCTTTAATTCAGTTTAAAAATGAAAGTAAAGGTTATTTGGTAAGAGTGCATGTGGATTTAGCCTTTCTGGAAAGCAATTCAATGATATTTATTTTAAAACATAAAGTTTTAAAAATGTACATTTACTTTGTTTTTGTTTGTGTTCTCCCAAAAGTAACAGGAGAGAAAGAAAAACAAATCACTGAAATGAAGTTTTAGACAAAAATTGTTGGGTAGGTGATTTCAGGAAACACATAAGAGAATGGGGAAGTGAGATAGAGAAGCAGGAGAAGCATTAAAGGGTGAGTTGATGAACAGGCCACCTTTGTGGGCAACTGGGACTCAATCCTGTTGGGGACATGTGAGAGATTGTGAAATATGCCTTGTAATTGAATTGTACCACTGAAAGCTGATGAATTCACCAGCTCTCATCTTTTGTTGGTTGAGGGTCACTGCAAAGGCATGAACTTTCCAGTTCATCTGGCCCTATTTTGTCAAGTATATCAGCTGCAGCATCTGGGGAATACTTTAGGCAGTGAGACTCTCAGGCAAGTAATCATCAAGCCATATGGGAATTGTGGGCAGGAGACTTCCCTCCTGGGAATTATATACAGGTCCATAGAAATTAACATACATACGTGGAATTGTATGCACATGACTCAGGAAATAACACTTGAAAGTTTATTATTCCATCATGATTCTTACACTAAGTAGAGGAATACTACCAGGGAAATTTCTAAAAGGTCTTGTTACATACACATGGTAATGCAAGAGACCAGTGGATTTTTGTTTAATGTAGGATTCTCTCAAAAAGCTATCTCCTCCCACAATCAATTCAAATGTCTACTGAGATTATGGTCACAATACATTCTACGGCCATTAGATGTCTAGTAATATGGCTAAATACTTATTTTTAGGAGATTGAAGATATCCTCCATAGGGTTTACAGATTTGGCAAATAAAAATACAGAACATCCAGCACATACATTTTCAAGAGTTACCATTAAAAACTACCACAAACGGAGTGCTTAAAATAACACGAATTCATTTTCTCACAGCTCTGGAGATTTAAAATTTGAAATCAATGTGTCAGGAGGGCTGTGGTCTCTCCACAGTTTCTACAGAAGGATCCTTCCTTGATTTTTCTAGCTTCTAGTGGTTGCAAGCAATCCTTTTTGTACCTTGGTTTACAGATACATCAATTTAATCTCTGCCTCTGTCTTCATATGGCTCTGTGTGTCTGTCTGTCTATGTCTCTTCTTCTTGGGACATCAGTTATGAAATTTAAGTCCTACTCTTACCCAGCATAACCTCATTTCAACTTGATTACATCTGCAAAGACCCATTTCCAAATAAGGGTCACATTCTCAGGGTCTAGGTGGCATGAATTTGGCAGAGGAGAGGGGAGCATGATTCAACGCAGTACACCTAGTTAAATTTGAATATCAGATAAACAATGAATATTGCCCCAAATGTTACATGAGACATAATTACACTAAATATTTTGATTTGAAATTAAAATTTAACTAGGTGTCAGGTATTTTTATCTTTAAAGCTTTCTGCTAGAGGGCATTTAGTCTTCAGCATCATCTCATGTATACATGCTTTTTGAAGACTCTCAGGTTTTGAAACTGGAGCCTGAAATTAAAGAAAAGTGTCAAAGACTCTCAGAGTGTCCTGAGGCTTGAATTCTAATCTACTTTCTCTAAGTAACTGCATACGCATCTGGATCAACCTTCTTTCTTCTTTATCCCATTCCTCAAGGAGTCTGAAGTCATTATTTGAATTCCACTTGATAAATATTTATTCAGTTATTCACAATATATGAGAATATGTGTGAATAATGAGTACAGGCACTTATGTAATAAAGAAAGAGAAGTAAATACGCTCTGTTTCCTCAAAGAGTCTACAGATTAGTTCTAGTAATGAGGATGACATCTCCCAAATAATTACTGTGAGGTAGACAAAGTATGTGCCATCAAAGTGTGCCACAAAAGTGGAAGGAATCTCAACTAATTGACATCCCACCCATTTGGAAGGCTCAGGTCAGATTTCATGGAGAGGTAGCTTTGGAATTGGGCCTTACAAGATGGATAAGATGGAAATATGAAATTGCTGATAAAGAATATCCTAAGTAGAGAGAATAACTTGACCAATGATAGGCATCATGAGCCTGGGTAAGGATGAATGAATCACCTAATTCAGTTGTTCTCAAACTTCTTTATGCTTCAAAATCCCCTGTATGTTGAATTCCTATAGTTCATCCCAAAGAGTGCTGATTTGATAGGCCCAAGATAGTTAATGATTTGAAAAGTTTCCCA
Organism: Homo sapiens; assembly: GCF_000001405.40. Lineage (NCBI taxonomy): Eukaryota > Metazoa > Chordata > Mammalia > Primates > Hominidae > Homo > Homo sapiens. The sequence continues at coordinate 167,201,155 of NC_000003.12, forward strand.
GGTATTACAAAGTAAAATATAGATCCAAATGTACAGTAGCTGAAAGACAAAGTTTATATTTTGTTCATAGAGCAGTCCAAGGTTAATGTGTTAGACTAGGGCTGGGTTAGGTAGGAGTAGATTGAGAACAGAAATCTATCTGGTATTTCTACAACATATGTTATTTTAAATCTATTCAGTGATCTGAAAATTTTATAGCCAAGAAGTTTTTTTATTAACACAAGACCCTCTATCCTTCTTTCCACATACTAAAATGTTTTTCCTGTTACTTATTCCTCATTGAACAGTTAAAAAGTCAAAGACTAATTCCCTTGTTCAAACTAATATGTAAATGCCCCATTACTGATGGTTTCCATTAGTCACCTAAAATGAATAATACTGAACTAATCTCCACTAATTGGTTATTTGTTTTAGGTTATGCTGATGTAAACAAATCAGAAACTCATCATGTAAATTGCATTAAAATAGAACTGGCTAACTTTTCATGTAAATCACCAATTTCTAGAAATAATAGTTCAAATAACTAAAAATAACAGGGTGCGTCAAACTCCAGGAGATGCAGATTGCTGCTTGTTGTGTCTCTGCATTTTAAATAATCTTAAAGAAAAAGCTATTCCTCAAAACAGTCAAAATAGAAATGTGAACGTATACAGATACATTGCCTGACGGGATGGAAAATGCTTAAGTTCTTTAAGAAATTTCTTGTTCTCTTTATTTTAGAAAAACCTCACAACAGTTTCATGCCATACACCATCTTCATCTAAACAGACCACCAATGTATGCATTATCTGTTTTAAATGATCGACATAGTTCTCACCTACATGCTAAGTAACAATAATTTCTACCACTTGCAGTTTATAAAGTGCATGTTCCTGCTCTGTTTCATTTGGTCCCTATGAGTTGTGGATGGGTAGAGTAGGGGCTACAGGTGGCATTACATTTACCATGTCAGTAGTCAATCTGAGGCATAATAATGTTACTGGAGATATCCAAGGTCACACAGACTCTTAGTGAGAGAAGGGCTTGAACCTGAGGCTCTTGATTAAATATCCAGTGGTCTTCATATAATGGCATAAAGTTCCATTGTTTCAGGAAAAGTTTAGTTTTATTAAATAATGTACAAGGGCAGAGTACTGAGCCACTGTTCTCTTTGCCTCATATTTGTGAGAAGCATTATCAGAATGTGTGTTAAATCGCTGAGAAACAGCTATTGGAGATATGCAAACTTCATTAGAGTTTAATATCTCTGTGATTTTGTTTTAAAATAATTTAGCAAACTAAACTAATCAATATGATCAAGTAATGGTCTATGAAATTCTATTTTAAAGCAAAGCTATTAGATTTAAAGAATCTAAAGACAATATCTGAAACTAGTAAGTTTCTGCTAGTAATCTCCTTTATTGCTTGAATGAAATGCAAACCCAGTCACAAGTTCAGAAATAAAAGCTTTAAAAAGGAAAACTTGAAAATTGATTCTGCAGTTTTGTTTCAAATCAAGTCTTAATAGCTATGTTTTAAAACCCTGAAAATGGAAGTTTATAATGGGCATGCCGTCATAGCAGTTATGAGGTACCATTGCAATGAGCAGCATGTTTCAGTGGAAAAGGTAAAACCTGTTTTACCACTCTTGGTAGAAATAAACTGTCAGCATAATCACACCCCCAGATTATCAACCCAATAGCTTCCTATTCAGACCAACTGAGGGACCCATTATTTCATTAATTCTCAACTTCGAAGGTTCTTCTAGCAAACAGGTACTAAAGCCGAATATCTTACAATAGGGAATAGTTCATTAAAGTGTGATGCTTCCCCATAGTGTCATATTAGTTCATGAAGAATTTTTATTGACATGGCAAAATGATCATGATCTAATATAAAATATGGGAAAAGCATGATGCCAATTATATTAGTTTACTAGAACTATCATAACAAAATACCACAAACTAGCTGACCTAAAAAAAATTTCTCATAATTTTGGAGGCTAGAAGTTCAAGATTAAAGTGTTGGCAGGCCTTGTTTCTCCTGAGGCCTTTGTCTTTGGTTTGCATGTGGCCACCTTCTCAATGTGTCCTTACATGACCTCTCGTCTGTGTGCATTCACCCTTGATGTCTCTTCTTCTGTTTATAGCAACACCAGTCATATTAAGATAGGGCCCCACCCTAACATGTGCATTTTAATCTTATCACCCCTTTAAAGACCTTATCCTTAAATATGCTTACATTTCAAGGTACTAGAGGTTGGGATTTCAACATATGAATTTTGAGGGGACATAATGTAGCCCATAACACCAATTATATGCAGAAAAAAATTTCTCTGTGTGTATGTGTACGTATGCTAAGACAAAATGAAAGGATATATACAGAAAAGTTAACAAACAAATAAGTAGGTTAAGTGAAGTTTTTTTTCTCCTTATATTCTTCTTAATTTTAAGACAATGTATGTTTATTTAAAAAGAAATGAATAAAATTACTAGCCATAAAATATCAGGGTTGCTTAAGGAAGCATATAACAGTGAGCCAAAGAAATTCTACAATAACCTATCTTTATAAGCAATTATCTTCCTGTTGTATTTATTTTGTTTCTTTTTATTTTATTTTGTTAAAATTAGAAACTATTTCTTTAATAAAAATCTTAGACCATAGCCGAAATGTAATATTGGCAAGAGCAGAACTACTCTAGTTGATGCAAGGTTATTTTCCTTGTAACCCGTAAAGCATTCAGTTGCCCACAATAAATTTTTAAGTACTCTGAGAACACAGACTAAGTCTTATTCATCTTTGAAACTTTTAATCTCTAGCATAATGCTGTCAACTGAACACATAATAAATATGTCAAAAGATAAGACACTAAAATATCTCATAGCTGTTCCTTAAATAAGAAGACAACAGACAATGTACTGAATTTAGTTCAAGGAATTCAATTTAAGTCCTTGTTCTATTGAATATCACATGGAAAACTTCCAATCATCCACAGAAGTTCTCTTAAGTTCCTTGGTTTACTTGTAAGTTTATAATGCAGAAGAAAAATCAATTTTCTTTTTTTCTTTTTTTTTTTTTTAATTTTTTCATTTTAAATTTCTTTTCTTTTCTTTTTTTTTTATTATACTCTAAGTTTTAGGGTACATGTGCACATTGTGCAGGTTAGTTACATATGTATACATGTGCCATGCTGGTGCGCTGCACCCACTAATGTGTCATCTAGCATTAGGTATATGTCCCAATGCTATCCCTCCCCCCTCCCCTGACCCCATCACAGTCCCCAGAGTGTGATATTCCCCTTCCTGTGTCCATGTGATCTCATTGTTCAATTCCCACCTATGAGTGAGAATATGCGGTGTTTGGTTTTTTGTTCTTGCGATAGTTTACTGAGAATGATGGTTTCCATTTTCATCCATGTCCCTACAAAGGATATGAACTCATCATTTTTTATGGCTGCATAGTATTCCATGGTGTATATGTGCCACATTTTCTTAATCCAGTCTATCATTGTTGGACATTTGGGTTGGTTCCAAGTCTTTGCTATTGTGAATAGTGCCGCAATAAACATACGTGTGCATGTGTCTTTATAGCAGCATGATTTATACTCATTTGGGTATATACCCAGTAATGGGATGGCTGGGTTCTAGAACTAGAAAAATCAATTTTCTTAACAGCTGATCCAGATTCAGGGAGAGAATGTCTTTGTTTAGAAAAGGTCTGTGATAAATACTTGAGATAGAAGATAAGATATAGAGGACAGGAACTCAGACCAAAAAAAAAAAAGTAAGTCTCAGTTTTCTTGCAGGAGAAAAAGAGAAGAGATAAATTTGGTTCTTACTATTGATGGAGAAGATGAGAAGAGAAGGAAAAAAATGATGAAGAAATAGGAGGAGGCAGAGAGAGAAGACATGGTGACAATATGGGGGCACAACATGAGATAACCCAGGTATTAGAAATTTCTGTGGCAGGGCAGGAGAAAGATCTAAAATACAATTCAATTTTAAGTTGTTTGTTATGTAGGGTGCAATTTGACCCCTCATTAAAACCGTGAACTTTTCCATAGAAGGTCTATTACACTGAAGAGCTTTATAATGATGGTTGATGGTAAATAGTGGGAGATGCAGAGGGAGAAGGGATGACACTATGAGGAGGAAGGAGGAATTACTCAATGGGAAACAGCAAGTTCTCAGGATTGGGGTGAAGTAACTGAGGCCAGCATGAGAATGTAAGCCATGAAGAATTTGAAAAGAAAAAAAATAAAACACTAAAGAAGAGCTTTAGTCTTCCATTATACATGATCAATCATATAAAGATCTTAAGTGGTTTTGTGATCTCAAGTGATATCTGGGTCATGTGTTAAATGGGATAATTATGTACTACTGCTGACTTTATAGAATTACTGAATCAATCAAATGAGATAATAACAGCTAACATTTATGCAGGACTTACTATATGCCAAGCACTTTTGGAAGCACTTTAGATAGTTTTACTCTTTCAGCCCTCACAAGAGTGTCATGACGTTCCTATTGCATATTTTGTCTGCATTTTACAGGAGAAGAAATGAAGGCACAGAGAAATAACTTGCCCTTTTTCACAAACCTAATAAGTAATTAATTGGTGGAACCAGGATTCAAAACCTGTAATAACTACACTATTACATCTCAGAATAAAATAGTAATTTATGTTAATTAATCTGTATTGTAAGCAAATGTAAAGTATTACTTTCTGGTAGTTAGATTGGGCAGTTAGAGTTAGAAAAAAATATATAGTAATTCTTCCACCTCTCCCTCTCTCTCTGCTGTATATACAGCAAAATGAATACTTAACGATCAATCATCTATATCTTTGTGTGCATGTGTTTGTTAAGAACACCTAAAATCTGCTCTCTTAGGAAATTTCCAGCATATAGTACAATATTATTATTTCTAGTCCTTATTTGGTTTATCAGATTTTTAGATATATTTATCTTATTTACTTGCAAATTTGTTCCCTTTGACCTACTTCTCATTTCTTACTCTTCCCTCCAGTGGCCACCATTCTATTATCCATTTCTATGTATTTGACTTTTTTAGATTTTATACATAAGTTAGATCATATAGTATTTTTCCTTCTGTGTCTGGATTATATCAGTTAGCAAAATATCCTCCAGTTTCATCCATGTTATCACAAATGGCAGTATCTCCTTTTTAAAGGCAGAATAATATTAATATATACATGCACACATACATACTATAATTTATTTATTCATTCATCTGTTGATAGATGCTGAGTTTTTCATATTGTGGTTATTGTGAATAATGCTACAATGAACATAAATGAACAGATATCTCTACAAAATGCTGATTTCATTTCCTAAGAAAATTGAAGAAGATAAAAATAAATAAAAAAAATGTCATAATTTGGACTGGAAGTATTAATACTGTTAAAATCCCCACATTATACAAAGCAATATACAGATTGAATGTAATCCTTATCAAAATTTTAATGGCATTTTTCACTGCCAAAAAAAAATCTAAAATTTGCATTAAATTATAAAAGACCCCTAATAGCAAAAACAGTCCAGAGAAAAAAAAGTTGGAGGCATCACATTTTCTGATTTCATATTATATCACAATGCTATAGTAAAATATTATGGTACTGGCATAAAATTAAACACATAGACAAATGGAACAGAATAGAGAGCTCATAAATGAATCCAACCATATATAGTTAACTAATTTTCAACAAGATCACCAAGGAGACGCAATGGGGAAAGGACAGCCTCTTCAATAAACAGTTTTGAGAAAACCGGATATCCACATACAAAAGAATGAAATGGATCCATCCTATACCACATAGAAAATCAACATAAAATGGATTAAAGACCTAAACATAACACTTAAACCAATAATACTTAATAGAAGAAACATAGCAAAAAAGCTTCCTGATATTTGCATTGGCAATACTTTTTTGGATATCACACTAAAAGTTCATGCAACAAAAACAGACATAAAGTAGGACTATATCAAAGTATCTGCACAGCAAAGGAGACAATCACTGAAATGAAAAGGCAGCCTATTTGTGAATATTTGCAAATCACATGTCTGATAAGGTTCTAATATCCAAAATATGTAAGGAATTCACACAGCTCAATAGCAAAGAAACAAATAACCTGATTTAAAAATGGTTCAAGGTCCTGAACAGACATTTTTCTACCTTTCTTAAATTAATAATAACTCACAGATGTAAGATAATGTGTTTTTTCCTAGTGTGGTCCCCTCCACTTGAAATATTCTTCAGCTTATTCTATCCCAGATAGTGATTCAGACTGAAATCCAGTGCTGCCTCTATTATCCAAGCCATAGATCTTGTGGCTATATACCCAAAGAAGGCACCTTTTAAAATATCACACTTTTTTAAAATGTGGTGTATATATACACAATGGAGTTCTGTTCATCCACAAAAATGAATGAAATTATGTCATTTACAGCAACATGGATGGAACTGGAAGTCATTGTTAAATGAAATAAGCCAGGCACAGAAAGACAATTATTACATGCTCTCACACATAAGTAGGAGCTAAAAAATTTAATCTCATAGATGAAGACAATAGAATAATAGGAACCTGGGGAGAGTTGGGGGAGCAAGGTAGCCAAATAGAGGTTTTCACCAGTCACCCTCCCCACAGAACAGCAAGTTGAACAACAATCCACATCAAAAAGCATGTTCATAAGAACCAAAAATCAGTTGAGCAATCACAGGAGCTGGATTAAGCTTTACATCACTGAAAGAGGGACAGAAGTGGGTAGGAAAGACACTCTTGAATTGCCTACACCACCCCTCTACCATCGTCAAAAGTGGCCTCATGGCACTGAGAATCTGCATTTGGGGGAGGGAGAGTACAGTGATTGTGATACTTAGCATTGGAACTCAGTGCTTCCCTGTCACAGTGGAAAGCAACATCACACAGAACTCAGCCAGTGCCCATGAAGGAAGCATTTATACCAGCCCTAGGCATGGGGGAGTCACCCATCCCAGTGGTTGAAACTTAAGTTCTAGCAAGCCAAGCCACTGTGTGTTAAAGTGCTCTGGGGTACCAAAGAAACTTGAAAGGCAGTCTAGGCCACAAGGACTGCAAATCCTGGGCCAGTCCTGGTGCTGTGTTAAGCTCACAGCCAGTGGACTTGGGGGCATGTGACCCAGCGAGAAACCAGCTGAGGTGGCTAAGGAAGTGCTTGTGCTCCTTCTCCTCCAACAAATGTCAGTGCAGCTCAAAGTTCCAGAAAAGAGTCCTTCCCTCTCCTTGAGGAGAAGAGAGAGGAGAGTACAGAGGGCTTTGTTTTGCAACTAGGATACCAGCACAGCTACTGTAGGATTGAGTACTGGTCTGAGTCTGCAGGCCCTCATTCCAGGCCTTAGCTCCTGGATAACATTTCTAGACACATCCTGGGATAGAAGTGAATCCATAGACTTGAAATGAAGGAATGAGTCCTGGCAGCACCACCTGCTGATTAAAGAGCCCTTGGGCTCTCAATGATCAGCAGTCATAGCCACGGATTACTTCCCATAGGCTTAGATGAGAATCAGAGATATATTGGCTTCATATGTGACCCAGTGCATACCCAGCTGTGATAGCTGTGAAGAGAGTCTCCTTCTGCCTGGTAAAAGGATAGGGAAGAGTAAATGGGACTTTGTCTTGTAGCTTAGGCACCAGTTGGGACACAGTGGGGTAACACCAAGCAGGTACTTGAGATCCCTGATTCCAGGCCTTGGCTCTTGGACAACGTTTCTGGACCTGCCCTGGACCAGAAGAGAGGCCACTGCATTAACGGGAGAGTCCCAGGCCTGATAGGATTCACCACAAGCTGGCTGAAGAGCGCTTGGGTCTTGAGTTAACATAGGTAGTAACCAAGCAGTACTTTCCATGGGCCTGGGATGGTGGTAGCTATGGGGACAGAATCCTCTGCTTGTAGAAAGAGAAGGGAGGAATGGGAAGGACTTTTTCTTTTGACTTGGGCCAGTTCAGCCTTAGAAGAATAGAGCACCAGGTAGATTCCTAAGGTTTCTGACTTCAGCCTTGCTGACATTGCCACCTGGTGACTGTAGAGCCCTACAGCCTTGAGTAAACTGAGGTGTTAGCCAGGCATTAGTTCTCATGGGTCTTGGGTGAGATGCAGTGCTGTGCTGGCTTCTGGCCTGATCCAGCACAGTCCCAGTGCTGGTGGCCACAGGGGTACTTGTGTCACCCCCCTCCTCAATTCCAGAAAGCTCAGCACAGAGAGACTCCATTTCTTTGAGAGAAAGTTAGGGAAGAAAATGAGAGGCTCTGTCTGGTAATCCAGAAAATTCTTCTGGATCTTATCCAAGACCACCAAGGCAGTACCTCTATGAGTCTGCAAGAAATAGTGTTACTAATGCAGATATAGTTGCAATGACTAAAAACTTAGATTATAAGACCCAAGTCCCTTTGAATACCTAGAAAGCCTTCCCAAGAGGGATAGGTACAAACAAGCCCAGATAGCAAAGACTACAATAAATACCTAACTCTTTAATGTCCAGACACTGACGAACATCCACAAGCATCAAGACCATCCAGGAAATCATGACATCAACAAACAAACTAAATAAGGCACCAGGGAACAATCATGGAAAAATAGAGATGTATGACCTTCCAGACACAGAATTCAAAATAGCTGGCTGGGAGTGATGGCTCACACCTGTAATCCCAGCACTTTGGGAGGCCAAGGCGGGTGGATCACTTGAGCCCAGGAGTTCAAGACCAGACTGGCCAACATGGCGAAAACCCATCTCTACTAAAAATACAAAAATCAGCTAGGCATGGTGGCATGTGCCTGTAGTCCCAACTACTCAGGAGGCTGAGGCATGAGAATTGCTTGAACCTAGGAAGTGGAGGTTGCAGTGAGCTAATGTCATGCCACTGCACTCCAGCCTAGGTGACAGAGTGAGACTTGGTCTTAAAATAAAATAAAATAAAATAAATAAAATTAGCTGTTTTGAGAAAACGTAATGGAATTCAAGATAACACAGAGAAGGAATTCAGAATACTATCAGATAAATTTAACAAAGAGATTGAAATAATTTAAAAGAATCAAGCAGAAATTATGGAGTTGAAAAATGCAATTGACATGCTAAAGAATGCATCAGCATCCCTCACCAGCAGAATTGATCAAAAAGAAGAAAAAAATAGTGAACTTGAAAACAGACTATTCAAAAAGACACCATCAGAGTAGACATAAGAAAAAAGAATAAAAAAGAATAAAGCATTCCTGTAAGACCTAGAAAACACTCTTAAAAGGGCAAATCTAAGAATTATTTGACTTACAGGGGAGCTAGAGAAAGGAATAGGGGTAGAAAGCTTATTCAAAGGGATAATAACAAAGAACTTTCCAAATCTGGAGAAAGATCAATGTTCAAGTATGAGAAAGCTATAGAACACCAAGCATATTTAATCCAAAGAAGACTACGTCAAAATATTTAATAATCAAACTCCCAAAGGTCAAGATTAAAGAAAGGATGTTAAAAGCAGCAAGAGAAAAAAAATACAATGGAGCTCCAATACATCTGGCAGAAGACTTTTCAGTGTAAACCTTATAGGCCAGGAGAGAATGAAATGACATATTTAAAGTGCTGAAGGAAATAAAAACTAAACCTAGAAAAGGCTGAATACTAGAATACTATATTCAATAAAAATAACCTTCAAATATGAAGGAGAAATACTTTCCCACTCAAACAAAAGCTGACAGATTTCATCAACTCCAGCTCTGCCCTACAAGAAACGCTAAAGGGAGTCATCAGTATGAAAAAAAAAGAGGTTAATAAGCAATAATAAATCATCTGGGGGGAGTGGCCAAGATGGCCAATTAGAAGCAGCTAGTGTGTGTGATTCTCACAGAAAGGAACAGAAGGGGTGAGTAAATAGAACACCTTCAACAGAAATATCCAGGTATATGCATTGGAATTAACCGAGGAAACAACTTGACCCACAAGACAAGACAATGGCCCATCTGGAGACATAATTGAGCCAGGAGATCTTTCCCAGCCCAGGAAAGTGGTAAGAGAATGAGTGCCTCCAGGAAACCACACCTCTCTTGCAGATCATTGCAACTCTCAGGTTAGGAGATCTCCTTGTGAACCCACTCGCTAGGGCCTTCAGTCTTTATTCAGCTTGACAGACAGAGCTACGTGGAGTTTCGCAGAGCAGCCACTCAGGCTTGTGTGGAGATTCTGGAGACAGATACTTGGGCTTTCTGGCAAAAGTAGCTGCAGCTCTGGCAAAGTGGGAGGTTACATTCCTGTACATACCCCTAGGCAAAAGCTGAATCCAGGGGCCTGAGCAGCAATAGCCTACAGGCCCCACTTCCATAGCCCCTCACAAGATAAGACCCACTGGCTTGGAATTCCAGCCAGCTAGCAGTAGCGGCATTGCACCTGCCTAAGAAGGAGTTCCCAGGGGGAGGGAAAGGCTGCCATCTTTGCTGTTTGGGTACCTGAACCATTCCAGCCTTCAGGCTTTGGAGAGTCTGAACTGACCCAGGGCAGAAGGGATCCCCCAGCACAGCACAGTTGTCTACAAAAACATGGCCAGACTGCTACTTTAAGCAGGTGCCTAATCTGTTCCTCCTCACTGGGCAGGACCTCCAAACCAGGACCTCCAGCCACCCTCACCCAAACTCTCCAGCCAACAGAGATCTGAACTGCCCCTGGGATGGCTCTCCCAGAGGGAGGAGTGGGCCACCATCTTTGTTGTATGGGTGAGTTAGCCATTCCAGCCTTTGGGCTTTGGAGAGTCTGAGCCAACCGGAGGTGGAAGGGATCCCCTAGCACAGCACAGCTGCACTATAAAAATGTAGTCAGACTGCTTTTTTAAGTGGGTTCTGATCCCATTCCTCCTCACTGGGTGGGATCTACAAACCAGGGTATCCAGCCACTTCCTACAGGTGACTTTGGGCCAACAACAGGTCTGTCCCTCCCTGGGACAAAGCTCCCAGGGGAAGAAACAGGCTGCCATCTTTGCTGTTTTGCAGCCTTCACTGGTTACACCTTCAAGTTCTGGAAAATCCGATGTGACTAAGGACTGGAGGTGGTCCCAAGCATACCACAGCAGCTCTACAGAAAAGTTGCCAGACTGTTACCTGACTGTCCATTCCCATATCTTCTCACCGAGCAGTTCTTCCAGGCCTGGGCCTCCAGCCACCTCCCACCAGAGCCATTGAGCCAGTACCAACTCAGCACCTCCCTGGACAAAGACTGTAGGAACAACTGAAAGCCTCTCTGCCACTGCCTCTGCAGTGGAACTGCCCTTGCCATCCTGGGACTAATGAAGGAACAAAGACCCTAAGCCTTATCCACAGCTCCAACAAGCTGCAGTTGACCCAAGGAGAGGAGGCCAGTCCATCTCCCATGGGACCCACATACTCCCACAGCTTGTTACCAGACAAGGAACCCCTGGCGTGGACCCACAGCACAAACCCTTCATCTTGGGCTAACTGCACTGATGACCCTTGGCTACAACCACTACTAAGATCTCTTCCTCTGCTGCCTCTAAGCTGGGGCAGGAACATAAACACTGAGATTGTTCTAGAGCTGCAGTGGGCAATCCAGAAGTGCCAAGTCATGAACTACAGCCAGCACTCAAAGGGAAGAGGAACCCACAATTTCAGAGCACTGACAGGGACCATGGCTACAATTGTGAGGAAATACAGAGGAGTCACAGAACTGAGCAAGAGTCTACCACCTGACCAATAAGCCTAAGTGTCACCTGCTGGATCACACCCCAAAGCTTCAACACCAAAAGTATCTCACCAACATACCATCCCTCTGAAACCAGAGACAAGAAGTCAGTTTCAAATAAAGACCCTACACAAAGCCTCAGCCAGGCGAAAACATCAAGATTATAAGTCTATTGACTGGGCTCAATCTACACTGCAGTTAAAGGAAAACCCACACACAGGGATGAGAAAGAACCAATGCAAGAACTCCAGTAACTCAAATGGCCAGAGTGTCATATATCCTACAAATGATCACACAAGTTTTTCAACAATGGTTCTTAACCAGGCCAAAGAGGCTAGAATGACAGAAATAGAATTCAGAATATGGATAAGAACAAAGATCACTGAGATTCAGGAAGATGGCAAAACCCAATCTGAGGAAAATAAGAATCACAATAAAGTGATACCAGAGCTGAAGGAGGAAATAGCCTGTAGAAAAAGAACCTAATGGGGGTGTGATAGAGATGAATAACACAATACAAGAATTTCACAATGCAATCACAAGTACTAACAGCAGAATAAACCAAGCTGAGGAAAGAATCTCAGAATTTGATGACTGGTTCTCTGAAATAAGAAGTCAGAGAAAAATAAAGAAAAAATAATAAAAAGCAAGGAACAAAACCTCCAACAATTATGGGGTTTCATAAAGAGACCATATCTATGAATCACTGGCACCCCTGAAAGGGAGGGGGAGAAAACAAACAACTTGAAAAACATATTTCAGGATATCATCCATGAAAACTTCCCCAACTTTGCTAGAGAGGCTAACAGTCAAATTCAGGAACTACAGTGAACTCCTGCAAGATTCTACATCAACCCAAGACACATAATGAGATTTTCCAAGGTCGAAATGAAAGAATGTTATAAAGGCAGCTAGAAAGAAAAAGCAGGTCACCTACAAAGGGCTCCCTATCAGGCTAATAGCAGACCTCTCAGCTGAAACCTTATAAGCCAGAAGAGACTGAGGGTCTATAATCAATATTCTTAAAGAAAAAAAAAATCTTCAACCAAGAATCTTATATCCAGCCAAACTAAGTTTCCTAAGTGAAGAAGAAATAAGATCCTTTTCAGATAAGCAAATTTTGAGGGACTTCATTACCAGAAGACCTGTTTCCACAAGAGATCTTGAAAGAAGCACTAAATGTAGAAAGAAAAGATGGTTACCAGCTAATACAAAACCACACTTCAACACACAGACTAGTGTCACTGTAAAGCAACCACGCAAGTAAGCCAACATAATAACCAGCTAAGGGCACAATGACATATTAACTTTGAATGTAAATGCACTAAATGCCCCACTTAAAAGACACAGAGTGGCAAGCTGAATAAAAAAAGCAGCACCCAGACCCATCTTACACATAATGACACCCATAGGCTAAAAATAAAGTGTTGGAGAAAAATCAACCAAGCAAATGGAAAACAGAAAAAAGCAGGGGTTGCTATCCTAATTTCAGACAAAACAGACTTCAAACCAGCAAAGATAAAAAAAGACAAAGGACATCACATATTGGTAAAGGTCTCAATTCAACAAGACCTAACTAATTTAAATACATATGCTCTCAACATAGGAGCACCCAGATTCATTAAGCAAGTTCTTAGAGACCTACAAAGAGTAATAGACTCCCACATAAATAATAGTGTGAGACTTCAATATTTCACTGACAGTATTAGACAGATTATCAAGGCAGAAAATTAACAAAGATGTTCAGGACCTGAACTCAACATTAGAACAAATGGATCTGATTGACCTCTGCAGAACTCTCCACACGAAATAACAGAATGCACATTCTTCTCATCATCACATGGCACATACTCTAAAATCAAACACGTACTTGGACATAAAAAAATCCTCAGCAAATGTAAAAGGACCAAAATCATAGCAAACACAATCTCAGACCAGTGCAATAAAAATAGAAGTCAAGACTAAGAAAATTGCTCAAAATCATGCAATTACGTGGAAAGTAAAACAACATTTTCCTGAATGACTTTTGAGTAAACGACAAAATTAAAACAGAAATAAAAAAGTTTTTCAAAAATAATGAGAACAAAAATACATTTCAAAATCTCTGGGACACAGTTGAGACAGTGTTGAGGAAAATTCATACCATTAAATGCCCACATCAAAAACTTAGAAAGATCTCAATTTAACAACCTAACTTCGCAACGGAAAAAATTAGAGATGCAATACCAAACCAATCCCAAAGCTAGCAGAAGACAAGAAATAACAAAAATCAGAGAAGAACTGAAGGAAACTGAGACATGAAAAGTAATTCAAAAGATCAACAAATCCAGGAACTGCTTTTTTTTAAAGATGTAAAATAGGCCACTAGCTAGATTAATTAAAAATAAAAGAGAGAAGATCCAAATAAACACAATTAGAAATAACAAAGGGTGTGTTGCTACTGACCCCATAGAAATAAAAACAATCATCAGAAACTACTATGAACACCTCTATGTACACAAACTAGAAAACGTAGAAGTTATGGATATATTCCTGGACACATACACCCTCCCAAGACTGAGCCAGGAAGAAATTAATTTCCTGAACACATCAATAATGAGCTCCAAAACTGAAATAGTAATAAATAGCCTAACAACCAAAAAAATCCCAGGACCTGATGGATTCACACTCAAATTCTACCACACGTACAAAGAAGAACTGGTGCCATTCCTACTGAAAGTATTCCAATAAATTGAATAGGAGAGACTTCTCCCCAACTCTTTCTGTGAGGCCAGCATCATCTTGATACCAAACCCTGGCAGAGACCCAAGACAAAAAGAAAACTTCAGGCCAATATTCTTCATGAACATCGATGCAAAAATCCTCAACAAAATACCTGCAAACTGAATCCAGCAGCGCATCACAAAGCTAATTTACCATGATCAAGTAGGCTTCATCCCTGGGATGCAATGTTGTTTCAACATACAAAAATCAATAAGTATGATTCACCACATAAACAGAACTAAGGGAAAAAACCATGTGATTATATCAGTACATGCAGAAAAGGGTTTTGACAAAATTCAACATTGATTCATGTTAAAAACTCTCAATAAACTAGGTATTGAAGAAACATACCTCAAAATAATCTGTCATCTATGACAAACCCACAGCCAACATTATACTGAGTGGGGAAAAGCTAGAAGCATTTCCCTTGAAAACTGGTACAAGACAAGGATGCCCTCTTTCATCACTTCTATTCAACATAATACTGGAAGTTCTAGCCAGAGCAATCAGGCAAGAGAAAGAAAGGGCATCCAAACAAAAACAGAGGAAGTCAAACTATCTCTGTTTGCATATGACATGATTCTTCTATATCTAGAAAACCCCATAGTCTTCGTCTAAAAGCTCCTTCACCTGATAAACAACTTCAGCTAAGTTGCAAAATACAAAATCAATGTACAAAAATCACAAGCATTCCTATACACCACCGACAACCAAACTGAGAGCTAAATTAAATAGGCAATCCCATTCACAATTACCACAAAAATAATATATCTAGAATACAGCTAGCCAGGGAGGTGAGAGATCTTTACAATGAGAATTACAAAACACTACTCAAAGAAATCAAAGAAGACACACACAAATGGAAAAACAACCATGCTCATTGATAGGAAGAATCAATGGTACTAAAATGGCTATCCTGCCCAAAGCATTTTACAGATGCAATGCTATTCCTCTCAAGCTACCAACAATATTCTTCACAGAACTAGAAAAAATTCTTTTAAAATTTATATGGAACAAAAAAAAGAGCCTGAATAGCCAGGGCAATCCTAAGCAAAACAAATAGTTAGAGAAGTCATGTTACCTGACTTCAAACTATACTACAAGGCTACAGTGACCAAAATAGCATGGTACTGGTACAGAAACAGGGATATAGACCAACGGAACAGAATAAAGCACCCAGAAATAAGGCTGCACGTCTATGATCATCTGATCTTTGACAAAGCTAACAAAAACAAGCAATGGGAAAAATATTCCCTATTCAATAAATGGTGCTGGGATAACTGGTTAGCCATATGCAGAAGATTGAAGCTGGACCCCTTCTTTATATCATGTACAAAACTCAACTCAAAATGTATTAAAGACTTAAATGTAAAATCAAAACCTATAAAAATCCTAAAAGACAACCTTGGTAACACAATCCTGGACCTAAGAATGGGCAAAGGTTTCATGACGAAGATGCCAAAAGCAATTGCAACAAAAGCAAAAATTGACAAGTGGGATCTAATTAAACCTAAGAACTTCTCCACAGCAAAATAAGCTATCAACAGAGTAAACAGACAACCTATGGAATAGGAGAAAATTTCTGAAAACTATGCATCTGATAGAGGTCTAATATTCAGCATCTATAAGGAACTTAAATTTAAAAGAGTAAAACAACCCCATTAAAAACTGGGTAAAGAACATGAACAGACACTTCTCAAAGGAAGACATACATGAAAGCCAACAATCATATGAAAAAAAGTTCAATATCACTGATCATTAGAGAAATGCAAATCAAAACCACAATGAGATACCATCTCACATCAGTCAGAATGTCTATTGCTAAAAAGTTAAAAAATAACAGATGCTGGTAAGGTTACAGAGGAAAGAGAACACTTATACACAGTAGGAGTGTAAATTAGTTCAATCTTTGTGAAAAGAAGTATAGTGATTCCTCTAAGAGCAAAAAGCAGAACTACCATTCAACCCAGCAATCCCATTACTGGACATATACCCAGAGGAATATAAAGCATTATACCATAAACACACATGCACGTGAATGTTCATTGCAGCACTATTCACAATAGCAAAGACATAAAATCAACCTAAATGCCCATCGATGTCACAGTGGATTTAAAAAATGTGGTACATATACACCATGGAATATTATGTAGCCATAAAAAGAACGAGATCATGTCTTTGGTGAGAACATGGATGGAGCTGGAGCCTAACATCTTTAACAAACTAATGCAGGAACAGAAAACCAAATGTCGCATGTTCTCACTATTTTTTTTTTTTTTTTTGAGATAGAGTCTCGCTCTGTCGCCCAGGCTGGAGTGCAGTTAGCCAGGATGGTCTCAATCTCTTGACCTTGTGATCTGCCCACCTTGGCCTCCCAAAGTGCTGGGATTACAGGCATGAGCCACCACACCCGGCCCCTTTCTCACTTTCAAGTGGGAGCTAGATGATAAGAACTTATGAACACAAAGGTGTCTTCTTGAAGTGAGAGGGTGGGAGGAGGGAAAGGAGCAGAAAATATAACTATTGAGTGCTGAGCTTAATACCTGGGTGATGTAATAATATGTACAACAAACCCCCATGACATGTGTTTATCTATGTAACAAACCTTCACATGAACTCCCAAACATAAAATAATAATTTAAAAAATCATCTGAAAGTGAAAACTCACTGGTAAGAGTAAGTACACAGAAAAACATAGAATATTATAACACTGTAATTGGGTTGTATAAATTAATCATATCTTCAGTAGAACAATTAAAAAATCAACTAATCAAAAATAATAAATACAACCTTTCAAGACATAGTACAATAAAAAATATTAATAGAAACAACAATAAGTTAAAATGCCAGGGAATTGCCTTAAAGTGTAAAGTTTTTACTGGTTTTCTTTTTGCTTGTTTGTTTACGCAATCACTCTTAAGTCGTCATCAGTTTAAAATAATGGGTTATAAGATATTATTTGCAAGCCTCTTGGTAACCTCAAATAAAAAATACAACAGATACACAAAAAAATAAAAAGCAAGAAAGTAAAGCATATCACCAGAGAAAATCATCTTCACTAAAAAAAAGAGAGTGAGAGAAAAGAATAAAAAGAAGACCACAAAACAACCAGAACACAAATAACTAAATGGCAAGATTAAGTTCTCAATTACCACTGATAAGATTGCATATAAATGGACTAAGCTCTCCAATCAAAAGACATGGAATAGCTGAATGAATATAACAACAAAACTGAATAATCTTTTGCCTACAAGAAACACACTTCCTCTGTAAAGACACACATAGACTGAAAAATCAACGTATGGAGAAAGATATTACATACAAACAGAAACCAAAAAGAAAAGGAGTAGCTATACTTGTATCAAAAAAAAAATAGATTTCAAAACAAAAACTGTAAAAGAGAGACAGAGACAGAGGTGGTCATTATATAATGATGAAGGGGTCAATACAGCAAGAGGATATAACAAGTTTAATATGTTCACAACACTGGAGCACCTGGATATACAAAACAAATATTAGAGCTAAACAGAGAAATAGACCCCAATACAATAATACCTGGAGACTTCAACACCCCACTTTCAGCATTACACAGATAATCCAGACAGGAAATCCACAAAAAAATGGACTTAATCTGCATTATACACCAAATGGATCTAATAGATATTTACGGAACACTTTATCCAAAGGTTACATACAGAATACAGATTCTACTACCACATAAATTATTTTCAAGGATAGATCATAAGGTAGGTCACAAAACAAGTCTTTAAAAGTTCAAAAAAACTGAAATTATATCAAGTATCTTCTCTAACCATGATGGAATAAAACTATAAATCAATAACAAGAGGAATTTTGGAAACTACACAAACACATGGAAATTAAATGATATGTTCCTTAATTACTAGTAGGTCAATGAAGAAATAAAGAAATTTTAAAATGTCTTGAAACAAATTAAAATAGAAAGAAAACATACAAAAACATATTAGATACAGCAAAGGCAGTACTAACAGGAAAGTTTATAGCTATAAGTGTCTACATCATAAAAGTAAAAACAACGTAATGATGCAACTTGAAGAACTAGAAAAGCAAGCACAAACTAAACCCACAATTAGTAGAAGAAAATAAATAATAATGATTAGAGAGGAAATAAATGAAACTGGATTTAAAAAACTACAAAAGATCAATGAATGAAAAATTGTTTATTAAAAGGTAAACAAAATCAATAAACCTTTATCCAGACTAACTAAAGGAAAGACCCAAATAAATGAAATCAGAAATGAAAAAGTAACATTACAGCCGATACTGCAGAAATTCCAAGAATTATTAGAGGCTACTATGAGGAACAATGTGCCAATAAATTGAAAAACACAGAAGAATTGGATAAATTTCTAGACACATTCAACCTACCAAGATTGAGCCATGAAAAAATCCAAAACCGGAACAGACCAATAATAAGTAATGAGTTCGAAGTTGTAATAAAAAGAAGAGCCCAGGACACAATAGCTTCACTGCTGAATTTTACCAAACATTTAAATAAGAATGAATACCAATTCTGCTCAAACAATTCTGTAAAATAGAGAAGGAAGGAACACTTTCACACTTACTCTAGGAGGCCAGTTTTGCCATAACACCAAAATCAGACGAAGACACATCAAAAAAAGAAAACTACAGGCCAGTTTCTCTGATGAACATCGATGCAAAAATCCTCAACAAAATACTAACAAACTAAACTTAACAACACATTAAAAAGATCATTTTTCAAGACTAAGTGGGATGTATTGCAGAAATGCAACAATGGTTCAACGTACACAAATTCATCAATGTGATACATCACATAAACAGAATGAAGGACAAAAACCATATGATCACTTCAACTGATGCTGAAAAAGCATTGGATAAAATTCAACATCCCATTATGATGAAAACCCTCAAAAAGTTAGGTATAGAGGGAGCATATCTCAACACAATAAAAGCCATCTACGACAGACTCACAGCTGGTATCTATACTGAATGAGGAAAACCTTTCCTCTAAGATCTGGAACATAACAAAAATGCCCACTTTCACCACTCTTAATAAACATAGTACTAGAAGTCCTAGCTAGAGCAATTAGAAAAGAGAAAGAAATAAAGGGCATTCAAATTGCAAAGGAAGAAGTCAAATTGCCCTTGTTTTCATATAATATCATCTTAAATTTGGAAAAGTCTAAAGACCACCAAAAAACTGTTAGAACTGATAAACACATTTAGAATACAAAGTCAACATACAAAAATCAATAGCATTTCTGTATGCCAACAATGAACAATCTGAAAAAGAAATCAAGAAAGTAATGCTATTTACAATAGCTATGAATAAAATACCTAGGAATTAACTTAACCAAAGAAGTGAAAGGTTTCCACAATGAAAACTATAAAATACTGGTGAAAGAAATGGAAAAGAACACAAAAAAATAGAAAGATATTTTATGTTCATGGATTAAAAGAATCAATATTGTTACTATGTTCATACTATGTAAAGCAATCTACAGATTAAATATAATTCTTATCAAAATACCAAGACATTTTTCACAGAAATAGAAAAATGATCCTAAAATTGTTAAAAGAACAAAACTGGAGGAATCACATTACTTGATTTCAAGTTATACTACAGAGCTGTAGTAACAAAAAACAGCATGGTAATGGCATAGAAACAGACACATAGACCAATGGAATGGAAAAGAGGACTCAGAAACAAATCTGTACATCTAGAATGAACTCATTTTTTGACAAAGGCATCAAGAACATACATGGGGAAAAGGGCAGTCTCTTCAATAAATGGTGCTGGGCAAACTGAATATCCATATACAGAAGAATGAAATTAGACTCCTATCTCTTGTTGACTATGAAAATCAAATCAAAATGAAATAAAGACTTAAATCTAAGACCTCAAAACATGAAACTACTACAATTAGAGATTTTGAAAACTCTCTAGGACATTGTACTGGCAAAGATTTCTTGAGTAACACCCCACAAGCACCAGCAATGAAAGGAAAAATTGACAAATGGGATCACATCAATTTAAAAAGCTTCGCACAGAAGAGGAAACAATCAATAAAGTAAAAAGCCAACCTAAAATTAAAAATGGGCAAAAGATCCGAATAGACATTTTTCAAAAGAAGACATACATATGGCAAAAAGTTATGTAAAAAGATGTTCAAAATCACTGATTATCAGAGAAATACAAATCAAAACTACAATGAAATACCATCTCACCCCAATTAAAATGGTTTTTATCCAAAAGACAGGCAATAACAAAGGCTGGTGGGGATGTGGAGAAAAGGGAACCTTCATATGTTGTTGGTGAGGATGTAAATTAGTACAACCACTATGGAGAACAGTTTGGAGGTTCCTCAAAACACTAAAAATATGATCCAGCAATCCCACTGCTGGGTATATACCTAAAAGAAAGGAAATCAGTATATTCAAGAGATAGCTGCACTTCTATGTTAATTGAAGCACTATTCACAATAGACAAGATTTGAAAGCTATCTAAGTGTCCATCAACAGATGAATAGATAAAGAAAATGTGGCACATATACATAATGGAGTACTATTTGGCCAAAAAAAAAAAAAATGAGATTCTATCATTTACAACAACATGGATGGA
This sequence comes from Homo sapiens, assembly GCF_000001405.40. NCBI lineage: Eukaryota > Metazoa > Chordata > Mammalia > Primates > Hominidae > Homo > Homo sapiens. The sequence goes on from NC_000003.12 coordinate 167,222,270, forward strand.
ACTGGAGGTCATCATGTTAACTGGAATAAGCCAGGCACAGAAAGGCAAACTTCTTATGTTCACACTTATTTATGAGATCTAAAAATCAAAACAATTGAACTTAAGGAGATAGAGAGTAGAACAATGATTACCAGAAGCCAGGAAGGGTAGTGGAGGGTAGGAGGTGGGGTGGAGGAAGATGATTAATGTGGACAAAAAAAATAGTTAGGTACATTACGATGAATAAGATCTAGTATTTGATAGCACAGCAGGGTGACTATGTCAACAATTTATTGTACATTTTAAAATACTAAAGGCATATAATTATATTGTTTGTAACACCGAGGAAGAAGAAATGATTGAGGTGATGAATACATTTACCCTGATGTATTATTCATTGTATGCCTGTATCAAAATATCTCATGTACCTCATAAATATATACACCTACTACATAACCTCAGAAATTTAAAATTTTAAAAATAATAAAAATGAAACATAAAAAATTTTAGAAAAGGAATGATAGACACCAGAGGCTGACAAGGGTGTGTTTTTGGTGGGCTAGTGGGATAGAGAGAGATTGGTAACGGGTACCAACATATAGTTAGAATAAAGTCCAATGTTTTATAGCACTGTAGGATGACTATATTTAACAACAATGTGTCGTATATTTCAAAATAGCTACAAGACTTAGAATGTTGCCAACACATAGAAATGATAAATAGTTGAGGTGATGGACACCCAAATACACTGATTTGATCATTACACACTCTATGCATGTCACGTAATATCATATGTACCCCATAAATATGTACAAATATTCATATCAATTAAAAAAAGTCTCATAGCCCAGCAGTAGATCCTGATTTCTATCTTCCTGACCTGTCAGTCACCTACTTATCATTAGAGACTCTACTTGACTTCCCTGACCACCCACCAGTCAGGCCTTCCCCTCAGAGTCCTCACCCCATACCGATTTCTGGCCTTTTGCTTGAGTTAATCATTATATTACCCACCCATCTTTTATCTAAGCCCCTTGAAGTGAAGGTCTTATTTCTTCTTAAATCTAAAATTATCTGCATAGTGCTGCAAACACAGTAGGTCTTCAAGAAAATGTTTTTGTTTCTTTCAATAAAGGAATAAAAAGCCAATTAGACTTTTGTTGGGATAGATATTCTGGAAAACTATAAGTCAAACATCCTGGGAGGGATTTTGTGTCAGAGTCTTAAAGGCTGAAATTTAGTTTTAGCTCTGCCTCTAGCTCTATGACTTTGGGCAAATCACTTAACCTTCCTGGACCTCAGGTTTCCTTTATAAAATCATTGAGTTGGGTTAAACTGATCTTTCATGTCAATTCTAGCTTTTAACTTTCCATTAACACTGTTTCTCTGCTGTCGGAAGTATGATTAATGAACAAGAACCCCTTATAAATGATTAGTCAACTTGGAAATTCAGGCAAAATTTTTGCCTTAAAATCATTATTTTATGTTTTTTCTGGTCCAGGTTCAAATATTTTTAGTCCTTAAGAATTCATAGCTTTTATGTTGTACTCTTATTAAAGGTGTTCTTAGCGAGCCCCAAGATTCAATTTTTATGTCCTTATTGCTCCACATATAAACTGTGCAGCATTAAAACAGAATGATTTCTCTACGGTAGTTAATTGTTCCTACTTTCTTTTTTAAATGTTAAAAAGACATTAGCAGTAGATGAGAGTGAAATGACTGGAGATTTTAATGCCTGAAGCACTTTAACCTTACCCAACAGCTCAGGTCGATCTGCTTGGCAGACATGCCAACAGGAGGGGACATAGCGGGTGGGAAACAAGATATTAACAGGCTCAACTGCATGCCAATTAGCAGTCCATTATTCCCATATCAGGGCTAGATTTGTTTCCCAGTAAGCCTCTGAATTAACCAGCCATCACATTCTAATACATATCAGTTAAAGACATTTTACTGTATTATTTTCAGACTTCTCATAAATAAATTGATTTATACGTGCTTACTTCCATGTATTTTTTTATAAACTGGCATTCTAAAGGCTTTATTTTTCTATAAACATGATATATATCATTACAGAGATGCTGATCAAGGGATACAAAATTACAGTTAGATAAGAGGAATAAGTTTAGGAAATCTCTTTTTCCTGTTGTCACTATACGGTGACTATAGTTAATAATGATATATTCTTGAAAAATGCTAAGAGAATGGATGTTAAGTGTTCTCAAAACAGTATGATAACTATGTGAGGTAATAAACAGGTTAATTAGCCAAATTTAGTCCATCTACAAGGTATATTCAATACATTTTATGGTAGATAATAAATATGTACAATTTTATCTGTTAATAAGTAAATACGTTTGGAAAACATGCCATCGTTAATAGCAAAATAAGTTAAAATCATCATTAAAATGGTGAGAGTGGGTAGTTTTAACTCTGGCAAAAGTATATTTGGAAAATAGTATGACATAAATTAAATATACAATCATGTGTAATATTTGTTTTGAAGTTTGTCCATTGTTACAAAAAATCTTGCAAATGGCAGTACTATCTCCCAATTTAACTTAAAACTTCAGTGCCATTTTCCACTGTTCTCTCTCTCATCCACCATATTCCAGCTCTTCCCAGTCTAGCCTAATATCCCCTTCTTTTTACCACCAGAGATAATGATATCCTCCACAGAATTTACATTTTATCACCTCCCCACAAAAATAGCTTCAACAAAATGGCACCCCTCACAATGTTTCTTGTTGCAGGAGGACCCTTTTTGGTTCTTCCACAATTGCAACTTAGCAGGAGGAACTGAAGCAGTGTGTGTTGATATGGAATAGACACAAGGAAAGGACAAAGGCAGTAAATTCCAACAAGTTAGAGAAACTGTGGAATTTCATAAAGGTGAGATTGGAGTTTAAGCCAAGTTTAGCCAAATATCAGAAAGAAAGAAGGCCCCAGCTCAAAACTGAGTTTCCACTAGACACGTGTTTACTGCTGCTGCCATGAGTTATTTTCCTCTGCACTGCTCCTACCCTTATTTCTTAATTTTTAAAATACTTGCTATGTATTGAGCACTTTGCAAAACACTTAAGAAAATAGTGTATCTTGTCTTCACCATCATCACGAATGGTAGGAATAACAACTAGGTTCCTAAATTATACATGGGATAAATAGTTTAACAGAGAATAAGATGGCTCCAACACATTGCCTACTTTCAGCTCATACCCAGACCCTAAAAGCCCCTTGCTGATGGGCTCTCACTTGTTTTGCAATCATTGAAAACACAGTGACTAAGCCTCATTATGTGCTAAATAGATAGAAGAGTAATCTGACTTGGATCATAACTATCCCACTAGTCACCAAGACTGATTTGACTATCGGGGGCTCGGATTGTCTTTCTTTTCTCTATATACTATGCATCTTCCTACTCAAACTACTGCCTCAGTCAGGACCAGTATTATCAGGGAACGGGGTGCTCTGCAAGTCTTAAACTCATGCAAATTGAGTAACTTTCGATGCTACCACAGTACTCCATCACCTGGGATCTTCCTCTGATGGTTGAGGATCCAGAGAGCACACTGGAGATTTCATGGAACAGTGCAGTTTTTGAGGTGGTTTATTACTAAGATCAGTTGCTTTTCTTGTTGCCTGAATTGAGGTGCACAGGGTTCTAGTTATCCACAGGGTTCCTTTCAGTTATAAAAGCCTATTCAGGTGGATATAGATCCCTCATGAGGGCATGTAGCTTGTCAGAGTACAGGCTGGATTTTAGCCCATACTCATTCCCTTGGTCCAGCACAAACTGCACAACTATAAATAGTAGCCCTGGCAGTGACTGTGATTAAAAAAAAAAAAAGAAAAAAAAACCTCAGAGAAATCAAGCCTTGTTAGATAATAATGATAAAAATAATAACATCGACAACAATAATAAAAGAGTTAGAGCCAGATTTTCAGACTTCCTAAATCTCCAATGTGTGATTCCTTTCTGCAAGACCAGTATGACTGGGCATGTTTCAATTAGACATATAGTTAACATACATTTATAGGTCTTTTGTAACCCCCACATAAATACCATTTTATTATATGGGCATGTAAAATGCCATGATAGCATTTTTCTAGACTCTCGGAAACAAATGAGTGATGACATGCTGTCCCTCCCCTTATTATTAAGCAAAGAGTAGTTAATCTGTAGAGTTGTGAGAAAGTTCTTCTCCAGAGACCCATATAACCCAAGGAAACCTGGAATGGAACATTGTTACCACTGTGAAGAATATTGTAGCAGAACTAGCATTTACCACGCAAATTTTCTATATAGAAAATCTGTTGGAAACAGATTTTAGATGACATCAATCTTCTTACGTTCCTAGAAAATTCCAAGCTCAATCTTGGCCATGAATGTTATCTCTGAATAGATGCTTTTTTTCTCCTCATCTGATTATCTTTTTCATGTAGTCTTTTCTCATGCTTCAGATCTCAACTGAAATACAACATCTTTAAGGAAAACTTTCTTTACTCCCTAATGACTACTTTAGTAGCTCCCCAACCATCATGTGTCTTTACTTAACCAAAGAAATATGAATGGAAGTGGCATGCCACTTCTTGTCAGAAGTTTAGAGAGTATGTACTTGCCTTATTCTCTTTCCCTATGCGTAATAACTAATAATGTTACAGGTGGAAGAGATTTCATCAGCCTGTATCTTTGTGTGATGCCAGTGTGGAAGCCCCAATCAGGCAACAATGGATATATGATATGAGTTGTATCTATCCACAAATTGCAGGAAGATGTTTACAATTTTAACATCACCCAGTGTGTCCTAACTAATGCAATCTCAGAAGCCAGCTTATTTCTTTAGTATCTCTAACTACAATCTATAAATACTTATTATATTCTTTATACTCAGAAAATTTTACTAGAATGTATGTTTCATAAGAGCTAGAAACTACCATATTCCTACGCAGAGTCTAGTACAATGTAGGTGCTAAATAAGCATTTGATGAACACAGGAATGAATCCAAGTCCTAGACTATTATAGATGGTGTTTAGTGGAAAAGAAGCATCCAGATACCCCATTAGTAAGTCTGGGTGTAAAACTTCTTACAAATTTACCTAATTCTGAATAAGAGAAGCCTTTAGGAAGGACAAAGCATTATATTTTACCTGATTTCCTCTACCCGTCCCCAAAGCAGGAGCCAGCTAACTCTACTGGTAGGCTGATTCTTGCATACATTCTGGGTCTCTCTTATCCTTCCTTGGGAAGCAAATTTGCTATTCAGATATCTCAGCATCAAGTCCATCTTGGTCTTACTCAAATCTAACCTTTAGTTTCATAAAAAAAATTTTGAAACATTTTCATACGTGGTCACCTTTTAAACTCTGAAGAAAGGCATGGCCTCTTTCCACAGTACAAAATTATACAAGTTTACAATTTTACAGGATTCACAAACCCCCTGAAAGTTCTTCAGGGACCACTTTTCCCAATATTCCAAAGACCTCAAGCTAAGAAATGGATTTCTACCCAGTTCTCAGACCAAGCCTACATGTATCCCATTATTTCTGAGCCCTGTTTTGATGACTACATACCCCTGATCTTATCTTGCTGTAGTCCTGCCTTGATCTTACTTTATTTGCTGTCCTGAATATTAGGAACAAGGCACGGGCTCACCATCATTTTCAGTGTGTTGTCTGTAAGGCTAGAACAATTTCCTTGTGTATAGCTGGATAATGACTCCTTCCCTGAGCCCCAGTGCCAGTTCCACTCAAGGGAATATATCTTAGGTCTAGATTCTGGGCCCTCTTGATCTCTACAGTTTCACCCCAAAAATACCTTCAAACATGATCTCTAAAACTAGAAAGAATCCTCTGATACTGAGTATTTTTAAATGAAAAGACTTAAAAATTCTTTCATTTGTTCAGCTTCCTATGAGTGGATAAAAAGAGGTTGTAGAGTCACTTCATATATTAAAGTGTTTCCTCTTAAATTTCTTTTCAGCAGAGGCCAAAGAGTTAAAGTGTTTCTTAAATTGATAAAAGTGCATCATCAGAACAATGAGTCAGCTTCTGAGTCAAGCTGAGTTTTTCCACCGCAAAGTGCTCTGCAGTCCATTTTCTGCATTTGTGCATTATGCTGCACTAAACATGTGCACGGTAGTATTCCACTCAATTAAAATAGCAGTCTCAAGAAAGACTCATTTCTCATTATAGTGGACTTAGAACAGTGCTATTTAAACATTTCAGACGAAATATCTTTGATGGACAAAATCTCACACAAAAGAATGACAGGGAAGACATAGAAGTAGTTTCTGTGACCAAAACTTGAATAGTTGTGGTCCCACAATGCGTTTGCATTCCCTGATGCCCTCCACTCCTAGGGGGCTTCTTGGAACCACTAATCCTTTGTGTAGTTCGAAAAGCATTGACATAAAGTATTTATCTGTGTTGAATTCTAAGCTGCATTTGACAATACAGTAGTTAAATATTTCTGAAACAGTTTAGATAATCCTTCCTATCTTCCAAAATATCAAAAAGAAAGACAGCCCATGACCCCATCATTCATTTTGCTGTGAGTTCCTCATGATTGTTTTTCCAGGAATTTGAGAAGGTGAAGAAGTTCATCATTGTTTGAACAACATGGGGCTGGCTTCAGCTTGCTCCCACGAATGAGTGGAACTCTCGCTTGCTCTTTTTCCACCCTGTTACCACTATCTAATGTACAACTTGAAAAAATAGACTATGTTGCTTCCTGCTCCTATAGAACAGAATGGTAAATCCCTAGAGGTTAGAAGGATCTGCTAATCCCTGATGGCAAACCTTAAGATAAACTTAGCAAGTGGATTGTGCATGAATTCAGTATCTTTCGTCTTCAGTTTACAAATTGCCTAATCATAAAACTAAATGATCATCAATGAACTTATTAATGAGAAGCCCCCAAAGACAATGGATGCCCTCTTCATTTGAGCTATTTCTGCTACGTAAGTTTTGTCAGGAGTGATTTTCATTCCCCACCCATCTCTCCCAATTGAGAGGACAAAATTTAACTCATTCTTAAGACCCGAATTAAACGTCACTTCTTCTGTGAAGTTTTCCTTAATACAAATCTCACAGAGATGAGGTCAATCTGCATTTATTAGTGCAATTATTTTTGTCTCTATTGTCTCTATCAGACCATAAATTGCTTGAGGCAGAATTCATATTTTATTCATTTATGCCCCAAAGTCTGCCTCAGGGCCTAACACATAATGAATTGTCGAAAATGTTTATTAGGTGGATGACACTGACTATTGATATAAATAAAGTATCTCACAGAATTATTTTGTGAGTAGGCATACTTCGGAAATATGATGATCCAAGTGCTATCTGAGCCTACAGTCAAGGACAGAAAGGCCCCATGCTGGCTTTAGCTTTCTTACTGCCACCTCCCATCCATCAACAAAATTACATCTTCTACCTCTGGAAGAAAAATGACCACTGTAATAATAAGAGTATAAAAATTACCTCATGCTTAGGTTTTGCTTTTGATATTTTATTCAATCAAGACTTATTGAATATCTACTGGGTTGAGGACAATGCAGAAGATGTATTTAAACAATGTTTTTCAAGGAAACATATTTTAAAGAATTAAACCATAACTCACCTGTAATAAGGCCATATTCAGAAATTTTATGAAGAAAACCCTAAGTTCAGTTCAAGCAACTAAAGTTTATATCTTTTCTACAAATCAATAGTAAGCTATCTTTTAAACATTCATTGAAGTGGAAATTATTGCTTATGTTGGCAAGTATGAAATCTGGAATTTGAATGCCTATATTTGTAATGCAGCATCCCCACTTACTGCTCACTAACCTTGGGCATATTATTTAAGCATTTGGTGCCTCAGTTTTCTCATATGTAAAATGGGGACTAATAAACAGTATCTACTATATGAAATTATTGTGAGGCACATGAGAAATGCTTACAACATATTGTAGGTGCTCAACATATGATATGGAAGTTACTATAGAAAACCTTGTCTAGCAGCTGCCCTCTCTAAATCTTTGCAAAGAAAAACAACATTTCTTTATTAAGTTGATATTCAATAAATACCTTCTCTGTGCCAAACACCCACTAGTGACATAGTTATTAATGAGACAACATATGCCATCAGGAAACATATTCCAATAATGGAAGGCACTAGTAAAAAGGTGAACAAATACTTTCTGTAGTAATATTGTAAAAAGAAGATGCAAGAAGAGAGAGTGAAACAGTGAATGTCTCCTTTATATACAGTGGCCAGTAAGGACTTCTTTGAGAAATATTTAAGATGAGACAAGAATAATATAAAGGGACATTCATTCAAGAATCTAGGGGGAGAGTGCTAAAGAAGGGAGTCAAGGTAAAGGTCCTGAAGCTAGAACCACCTTGAGTCCGAACAACAGCAAGCAGGCAATGGTGCTCACAGCAGGGTGAGCTCAAGAAAGAGGAGCAAGTTATGAGGCCCTAGAGTTAGGCAGTGACCTGATCAAATGAGCTTTGGAAGCGATTGGGAAAAAGTAGGCATTAGTTCTCATTGTAATGCAAGGCCAGTGGAGGAGTTTGCACCATGGTGGAATATGATCTTATCTTCATTTTTAAAAGATAACTCTGTTTTATGAAGTGGAGATTTTGGATTAGTGTGAGAAGAATGAATCAGGTCAGGTGGGAGTGGTGGAGCCAGTTAGAAGAGTCAATATTTCGCATGTATTTTAAAATAGAGTTAACGAGACTCACTGCAAAATGTATATGGGCCTGTGAAGAAAAAGAGGATTCGAAGGAAACTCCTAGAGTCTTTGGCCTGAGCAATTAGGTAAATAGTGTTGTCAATTATAAAATGGAGAAGACCAAAGGAAAAGCCAGTTTGCCAATGAAAATTTACGATTCTGTTTTGGGTATGTCAGTACACTAATCTGGAGCTAAGCGTTAAGTGGTGATGTTTAAGGTGAAATTATACATTAGAGGTTTGACAGAATCAGCTAGAGAGATTGTCAGTCTCTAAGAGGACAAAGACTCTTCCCTAAGCATAGCAATAGTCAGAGGCTGTAAAAAAGGAGAAGAAATTTCAGACAACACTGAAAAGGAGCAGTCAGTGAAATAAAAGCAAAATCATGAGAGCGTGGTGTCCTTAAGAATATTTGAAGCACAATTTTAAGGACAACAGACTGGTCGACCACTTTAAATAATGCTGAGACCCTGACTAAGATGACCTCTGAGAAATATGAAGGTAATTGTTGACAAGATCATTGCAATCAAACAGTGGGAACAAGAGCCTAATTTGAATGGGTCAAATAGAATACAGCCAGTGAAAAAAATCAAAGTGTGTATAGACTTTCTTTTGAGAAATTTTACTAATGAGGGGAGCAAAAATATTTGTGAGAGGAAAAGCTAAAGATATTATTCAAAGAAATCTATTTTGCAGTGGAAGACATGACAGTATGCTGTCCCTTTACTAAGAGGGACTTTTTGGGTTAAGCAAGAGATTGGAATTCTGCCTCCTTTTTAAACAAGTTTTCCCAAATCTGTGGTGGGTATTTTAAAAGGTATTCATTCCAAGAAATTAGATGTTTAACCTGAATTTAAACTTTGTACAGTTGGAATTCCATAAAGAAAATGGAAATACACTTTCATTCTTCTAAGGTAGCATTTATATTGACCGGTATAGAATGAAATAGAATAATTTTTCTAAATCTAATCAGAAAGTGAATCATTTTTACTTCTACTTTCCAGAGAAGAAAATACTATACAATGAAAAATTGGCCATTTGATATGATTGTAGTCTATCATTCTTGTTTGTAGAGAAAGAAAATAAAATTCCATTTACTCAAAGAAGTCTCAGTGAATCAGATACTTTAATTCATGAAAAGATGGGACATACTTTTTAGAAATATGAAAAATTAAAATTGAGACTGCTTTTTTATTAACTTTATGTCAAAACTGTCTTTTACATAACAGTGCAATGAACTGTGTTTCACTAATACCAAGTAAATGTGTTTTTAATGATGTTATAATAAACCTAAAATCTTAAGAGGAGAGCGATGCTGTCAAAGAATAATTGTTTCCAACTTGGAAAATAAACCATTTACTCCTAGTGCAATGTTTATTTGCAGATAAATGGCTCGTTTTCACCTTGGCATCTATCTGATAGCAGGAAGAGGCACATCCTTGGTAAAAGTTCTATTATCATTATCACTTATTTTAATCACAACCATCTGTTGGATTTAGTTCCTCCTCCATAAAGAAGAAAATGGGTCCATTTCAAGAGCCAATAAAGGGGAATTTGTGTGAGACAGACTTGAGTTCCCATCAGAATCATCTGGCCCTGGATGTCAGACAAGTTGAGAAAAAGCACCTGCCACATCTGTAATGCCACTTCTGGAAGTCTCTTAGGACTCTCATAGAATGCTTTGCCTAGAGGGGAATTAGGTGTAAAATTTCACTTCAGAGCTTGTTAAATAGACCAGTCCTTGGAAATTAAGAAGTGTTTATGATGATAACTTAGAGAACAAAATCAGAATAAAGCTCCAGGCTATTCATGTCCACCAATGGCTCTTTGAGGAGAAAGTGAGAATTACACTCAAATTACACGTGAAAGAATGGCCTTGAAGAGGTCTGGTGAGAACACCTCCCTGTTGGGTTGATGCTGGTTTGGGACTAGAGGTATGACCTGAATGGTTACCATAGAGCCAGAGTGGTCCTGAATTGTCACCTTTCCCCTTTTATAAAATAAAAGCCTTTAATAATCTTTTTCCTTAATGTCCCTTTCCTCACATCCACCTTAAGGCTTAGCACTCTGCCCTATAAACCTCCCTTTGAGTCCCTTCCCTGAGAATCTTTCAGAGAAGCCTATGGCATACCAGACCCACTGCAATATTAAAAACTGCCTTAAGTCATAACCCTGGGCCTGCTGAGGCCATGTTTCAATAACACAAATTACCCATCCTTCTCTCTTCCCCTTTCCCTCACCATGGCCTGGCAACAATTGTTTGGAACTGAACCAACTCTGGGCCCTCCTTAGGCTACCATGTTGCCTGGCTCAAAAACATGAACTAGAACAATCTAGCTTCTAGAGTTAAATATACAATTAAAAAACAAACTCAAGGGACTTAAATATCTGTCAGAGTAAAGCTGAGAGGAAGGCTCTGAGATAGAGTTAGAGACCTGAATGAACCCAGATGAATGGCCCAGGAGTGAACAAAAGGTAGAAATGAGCATAAGAAGCCAGCTAGTGGAGAAAGAAATAGAGCCAGTGAGCCAAGAAAAGCACCCATGATCATCAATGGCCATCCTTAAAAGCTGTCCCAGGTCCCAGAAACTGTTATTTCCCCTTGAGGCCAGCTCTTCCATGGTTCCTCTTCTGAGATTTCTACACAATTTTACTTCTCACTACCATAACCCCCCTTTAAGTATCTTGAGTGGGTATCTCTACTTGAAGAAACAAATATCTAAATAGAAGTCAGTTAGAAATATAGACAGCTATCTAAATTTGGGTTATTTCTTGGAATAGTTTCAATGAATTGTGAAAAGGTTATCTTCTCTGTGTGGCTCTCTGGAGTCTGGTTTTATAGCAAAAGGATGTATATCCAATCACATATCTCAACAATCCTGTGACAACATAAATTCCAGGATAACAGCCTGAGAAGGGGGCCCAGAGACTTCCTAGGGCTTTAGGCCACAGATCTCAAACTGTTATGGTAGAATTCTTTCTTCTGTCTTATAAAGAATCCCTTTATATAAAATATACCCAGACATTCATGCTTTTGTTCAGCAATTCAGTCTTTCTTCATACTCCTTTCCCTAATCAGGAAACCCTAAGTGTCCCTAGAATTCAGTTGGAAAGCAATTAATCTCTCATTTTACACACGGAGTTTAAAAGATTTAAATACTGCTTTACGGGAACAGAATAGTGAGGCTTTATCTCTGAGACCATCTGTAATTCCTGGCTCTACTGTACTAATATTTAACATTCCTTTAAAATGTATTATTTTATATTTGTTCTCTATGTATTTTTGTGAAAATTTCCATCACAGGTTACAAAATACCCTAATATTGGAACACTCATTTGAAATAAATATATTGTATCATACCATTTTTTTACACAGTGCATTGAAAATCTTTGCAAAAGCAGATTGGATTTGGGCCTTAGCCCAAAGACTGAATTTTAAAGAGATGTGGAATGTGTTTTGAGAAATCCTAAGGTGAAAACTTGAAGCTGAATAATGAGGAGGTCTCTGTTTGTATAACTAAAAGATGCTTTTGTAAAGACATAAAAAGACTAAAAAAGAGGAATTGATTATATAAGAAACTGGGTGATTTAAGTATAATAGCGTCCCTTAAATGTGACTTATTTAAATCTCAAAAGAATTGGTTTTACCACATAATTCAAACCACATTAATGGAAAATTCTTGTATACTGGAAACAAGTAGCTATTGATCAGTAATAAAGATAACAGTAGAGACTGTGACAAAGATGCCAGTTGCCTTCAGTATCCACTTTCCTCATCTTCTCTAGGAATAAAACCCCAATTTTATTCTAAGAGCCAATGTGTCCACTTAATCAACCACATTTTCAAATTCCCTTGCATCTAGACATAGCTAAATTCTAGCCAATAAGATGCAAGAAGTGTTGTTTAAAGAAAGCTACCTCAGCTAGGAGACATCCATTTTACTCTTCCCACTTCTTCCTTCTTGATGCCTGGAACTCATCGTGACGGCTAAAAAATAACCAACAAAACAAATTTACAGTGAGGTAATCTTGAAGGTTGAAATAACATAGTAAGATGTAGCTGCTGTAGTAGTCCATGACTGTCTACTACCAGACTTAACTTCCTTACCAGAGAAATATACTTTGTAAATTTCACTGCTCTTTAGTGTTTCTTGGAATACACAATTAAAACAAAACAAATCCTAACTTATCCAGTAGCCTAACCTACAAGGTATTCTTATAGGGCTATGACATAGAAAGTCAGAGGAGAAAGTAAACATGATAAATATCTTTAAAATAAAATGTGCATCTGCTCATTTCCTGCTTGCACCTCCAGAAGCTGCTTAAGAATATTCATCACTAGAATGAATAACAACAAAATGTTATCCTATAAAAATTTGACTATGTAAAAAAATGTGAAATTATATAACAGTTTAAAAGACTTATTTCATATTTAAGTATATAAGGTTTAATTAATTATAAAATATGGATGAAGTCTATTTTCCCCCTGGAAATCTTTAAAAGCATTTGTAACTAGAATGTGTAGATATATATAATTTCTCTGGATAAAAATGTGAATATATATATATATATTCTTCTGGATAGAAAGCAATACACATATTGATTCCTTCTGGCAGAAGAGCATATAGATAGCCTTTCAGAACTATGTTTTCATAACTGTTACTATACATTTGAAGAAATAAACCCCATCAATCAATTAATTCTTTTCATTTTAAACATAACTGTCACCTTATGGAGAACATTAAAAATATCATCTCCTTTTGCTTAACTATAGTAGACATTTGCATTAAAATAGGAGGATCTTTATTTCTTTAGAGTTCATCTATGCTGCCGGTTATTCCCCAGCTAAACTCATAATCCTGTTTGCAACATCATAATCATTTACTCAACAAACAATCATGGTGTCACTAACAAAGAATTATGTCTTTAGGTAGGGGATAAACTACAGGCACAGATGAACTCTGAGGAAATAAACATTGTTTTCATGCAAATGTGGCTAGTAATAAATAACCGGGGGTGAAAATTATGATGAAACAGAATATCCTATAATAACGTATTTTAGGAGGCATAAATAGTATATACGTTTTTAAAATTTCTCCTGTCTGAAAGAATGATGCACAAGGTGTTCATAAAATTCTGGTAAAATTTTAGTATTTAAAACAGCTTTGAATTTACACAGAATAGAAGAAAGCTATAAACAGATGGGATGTTTCAGAAATATTTTTTAAAAATTAATTTATATATCTAGCTTTTAACATAAACACTGGCTTTTTACATCATTCAATCTAATTATCCATCTCACTGCAAGCATTCTGTACTTTTGATATTGAATGATTTTTGTGGATCACTTATGTCAACTTGCACCTAAATTCATTTATTTATCCAACATTAGTTTGCCTGTATATTCAAAGATTACAGCATAAGCTCATAAAAAGTGATGATAATAAGCATAGCAAAGCACTTTCCAGTTGCAAAAGTGTTTTTGAATTCATTACTTCATTTGATTTTCAACAACGTTCCTTTGAGCTAAGGAAAGTCAGTATCTTTTTCTCCATTTTATAATTAAGAAATACATTCATATTAGTCACTTTCCAGTTAGTAAGTAGTGTAATCTGATAATGTGAATATATACCCTGTTTTTCTCACTACATATATCATCTTCCTTTGGGAAAATGTAGGGACCGACAGGGCTTCTAAATTGGATCCTGCATGTTCACTTATTTATTCATTCCCCTACTAATGACATCCCATTCTGAGCGAGGCATCTGCTGGAGGCTGAGTTCTGTGACAATCAATATGGAACATGATCTATACTCTGTTGAAATGTATAGTCTAGTTAAGAGGCATATCTTCAAAAATCACATTTGTACATTAATAATTATAAGTTTTATGAAGCAAAAGGCAGGATGCAACGAGAAACAATGAAGAAAAAAGGGGCAAAAGGAATTAATTTGGATAGAGATTAGATAAATGCTCTTTGAGAAGATACATTTTGAGACTTAAGAGATGAGAAATAGCATGTGCCAAAACAAGGATAAGATGAGCATTGCTCAAGATCTTTTCAAAAACTGAATAAAGGGACAGAGAGAATTGCTTTTTTCTGAATCAAGATATTATTTAAAATAGCTGAGAAGCCATTTCATAACATTTATTTTTTTCAAGAAATATTTTCTATGCACCTCACATATAATGCCCAGCATTAAGTGATCTTAAAGGTAACAGATACCACTGGCCTGTGTTATGTGACATACTCAGCGTACACTAGATATGAATTACTTCAATGAATATAAAAAATACTAAAACTATTAAATAAAATTTAATGTTAATTTGTCTGCAGCATGTGCATGTCCAGAGGCTGTAAAATTATAGAATTTCATATGACTATTACAGCACTACACAAGTCTGGGTATAAACTACGAATTTCAACAAGCATGTAAAATCAGGTGGTCATTTATCCAATAGTGGTTAAAGGCGCACTGTACTGACTCCACTATTAGTAATATGGCTGAGGTTCTTGTGGAATATCTGTAACTCTCTCAGTTCCATAGTTAGAACCAGGTCCGTAGCAGCAATTTTAAGCATGAGCTTTAAAATGAGAGAACACATTGAAGCTGCTTCAGGCAAAGGCTCTAATTTTACTTAGTTTTTATTTCCTCATTAGACTAATGGCAATGGAATTAAAGAACTTTCTATATGAGTGGTTATTGGAAGCAAATAAAAGCAGAAGGGGGCCTAGTCTACGCTGCCACAGAGGAACCTCATGTTTAATTTCAATGTATATTGGAAGTCAAATGACAATTTTTTTATCTCAGATTTGGCCAGAGATGTACTGATGACAATTAATTATCAGCTTAATATTTATTTCAAAATTCTTATATTGTAAAAGGTAGCAGCATCATATAAAATGATCTTCTGAGCTAGTTCACAAAAGACTCAAGCTATGGCTGAATACACAAGAGAAAACAGTAGTGGTCCAATCCTTCCCTAACAAGAATAGGACAACACCATATTCCTTTTATCTGAGAGAAGCACTGGTATAAATCAAACCCAGAGGAACAATTTGTTTCTTCATCACAAGGGAAAAGGAAGATGTCTTAGAGCAAAGGAGGGTAGAAAGAGTCATGAAACCTTAAACCTGAGCAGATATGCTAAAATATGTACATATATTTTTCTATGTTAAAAGACGAACAGTAATGCTCATTTTAACTATAGATACTAAAATTCAGAAAGCCAGTAGTGTCAGGACAAGATGCCAAAAGGGCTTTGGACACAAATGATGAAGATTCATTGGTGACTCACTGTTGTCTGTCTATGGGATTGTGACAGAGGACATGTTAAGAGGGCAGTAATAATTGTGGAGGAGTCATACTCTTTTAAAAATTATATCTTTTGCAACATTTTATTCTGATAATATTACTTGCTTTCTTGATTGCTTATTGTCCACGTTTGTTAATCAGTTTCAATAGGATGCATTTTTATATTAAAAGACATGGAAATGGCTATAGGTCTCTTCTTCATAATTTTCTATTCTGTCAGTAGACGATGTGTGTGAATTTAGTACAGTTTATTAATGCCACAGAAAAAGTATCAAAGGTAAATTTACACTAAACAACCATCAGTCTTGTATAAGACTCACAGAGAAGACAAAAGAGTTTGAGTCTGGAGTCATGGCTACATTGTTGTCAGAGTGTGGCCAACTTTCAGGGATATTTTTCTGTTAAGTCAACAAACTCCATAAGGGAAAACTGTCCTAAAATGTCACAAAGTGATGACCACAAAATTATCATCCCATGTTTTCTCCTCTTTCTTAAGCCTCGACTTATAAGATTATAAATAACCATGGACTCCCACCAATATCAAAATCTACAACTACTCAACACCAGCAAAATACTTCCCTTTGTCTTCTTTCTTTTGACTATCACAACAGTCCTTCAAACTGGCTGTATTGGGTTCTCCAGAGAAATAGAACAAATAAGATATGTGTGTCTATACACATCTATATCTATATATCTATATCTATCTATATATCTATCTACCTATCTATCAGTTGATCTATCTATAGAAAAACAGAGATTTTCAAGAATTGCCTCATGCAATTGTGGGATTAGCAAGTCCAAAATCCACAGGGCTGGCCTGCAGGCTGGAGACCCAGGGAAGATATGATACTGCAGCTCAAGCCTGAAGTCAGTCTGAAGAAAGAATTCCCTCTACCTTGGAGGACCTCAGCTATTTTATTTTTCTTAAGGCCTTTAAACTGATTTCACGAGTCCCACCCACGTTATGTAAACTAATTTGCTTTACTCAATGTCTACTTATTTAAATGTTAATCTAACCTAAAAAAATACTCTCACAGAAACATCTAGAATATAATTGACCCTTGAAAAACATAGGTTTGAACTGTGAGGGCCCACTTATACATGGATTTTCTTCTGCCTCTGTCACTCCTGAGACACAAAACTCATATCCTTTTTTTTCTCGCCCTTCTCAGCCTGCTCAATATGAAGACAATGGTGAAGATTTTATAATAATCCATTTCTACATAATGAATATTAAATATATTTTCTCCTCCTTATGATTTTCTTAGTAACATTTCCTTTTCTCTGACTTACTTTATTGTAAGAATACAGTATATAATACATATAACATACAAAATATGTGTTGACTATTTATATTATAGGTAAGACTTCCAGTCAACCATAGGCTATTAGTTACATTTGAGGGGAGTAAAAAGTAATACACAGATTTTTGGCTGTGCAAAGGGATGGTGCCCCAAGTCCCTGTGTTATTCATGAATCAATTATAAGGTCTGACAAAGTATATGGTGTATTAGTCTGTTCTCACATTGCTAATAAAGACATATTCAAGACTGAGTAATTTATAAAGGACAGAGGTTTAATTGACTCACAGTTCAGCATGGTGGGGGAGGCCTCAGGAAATCATGGTGAAAGGGGAAGCAAACACATTCTTCTTCAAGTGGAGCAGCAAAGAGAAGTCCTGAGCAAAAGGGGGGACAGCCCCTTATAAAACCATCAGATCACATGAGAACTCATTATCACGAGAACAGCAGCATAGGGGTAACTGCCCCCATGATTCAATTACTTCCCACCAGGTCCCTCCCAGGACACCTGGAGATTATAGAAACTACAATTCAAGATGAGATCTGGGTGGGGACAGAGCCAACCCATATCATTTGGGTATTGTAGACCAGTCACATTTTCACATAAAGCTAATCACTACATTGACCTTCTTAAAAAAAGATGCTTAGAGGTCTTTACTGTGTTTTGCTAGAGCAGAGTATGAAAAGTTTCACACCCATTTTATTTTTGGTCCTCTTTTTTTCTTTTATTGCAAATTTTTGAAGATACCAGAACTTCTATAAATGTTAAAAACCAGAAAATAAACAGTGTAATTATAGGTTCAATTGATGATACTAACTAGTGTGACTTGGCTGTCAAATGCACACTCTTGTTGATGACATAATTATTTAAAATATAATTGGACGATGAAATATTTCTTTAAGTATAATCATGTTCTGCCCTATAGTAGGTTTTATAGACACAGTTGTAACAGTTATTTCTTCAAATTCACCATATTTTACTAACATAATCTGCAATATAGATTAGTGGTTGACATATAATATATCATTGGAAGAATAAGCCCTTGAACTTATAATTTTACTTTTATTAGTTTGTAGCCTTGAAACATCAAAGACATTAGTAATCAAAATCTCCAGCACTTGGATAGGTAATCACTTGGTTACTTTTCTCAGTTGTTTGCTTTACTCTGGGTACAAAATGGAAACAGTAATGAACAAATAATCTTTAAGTACTCTTTGACCACGGTAGTGTGATGACATGTTGCTTGTTGAGAAAATCTTCCTCCTCCTCATCTGTACTGCTCTCAGAAAGTGACAGCAAAGACTGAATTTTGGTATCTCTTCCAGAACAGCTGAAAATACATAACAAGATCAATACACAATATACAGAACCGGGTTTCAACTCTTCATTTATCTTCTGATCAATACTACATATGTTGGAGTTGCTGGAGGCAAGCAGATGTGAGGGAGCTGTATCAGACTGGGGCCATAATTTTCAATGTGCCCAATATACCAAGCCTCCTTTTAATGAGAAATTCTCATCATTCTCCCTCTCCCAAGAAATACAGCCACAGTAGAATCAAGGAGAGACTTTATGGTCTCTGATTGTGTCTTTTGTTGATGATTCAGAGGCACTTTAGAAACCTGCAGAGCCTCAGGGTCATCATTAAGAACATTCATCATCACATTGGCTGTTTAATAGAATCCCAGTGAATAGACTGCCAGATAAATCATCTCTTTTGTATACTGTAAATTAGGACTATGTAGATAGCCAGTCAAGATATGCTGAAGCAAAAATTAATGACGGCATTTGTTTGTTATTTTATTTTGTTGCATTTTATTGGTGGCAGCAGGGGGCACCTTATTCTGTTAGTAAGGTCCCCTTATATTTTTAGTATTGAATGTCATTTGTTTTATGAATGATGAGAATACTTGTAGGTGTAGTTTGTTTTTAATGATTTATCTAAGGGAAGAAAATATCAATCTTACATTGATCCTTTAAACAAATATAAATGATAATAGAAATGCAAAAATCCAGGCTGAGTGCAGTGGCCTGAGTAGTCCCAGCTGTTTAAGTGGCTGAAGCAGGATAGCCTGAGCCCAGGAGTTTCAGACCTACCTAGGCAACATGTTGATACCCTGTCTTAAAAAATTTTTTTACAAGAGAAAGAAATGTAAAAACCAAGAACAACAACTCAATGATTTCCTCTTCCAGAAAGAATAAGAAACTCCTGATTCCCTTTTTACTGCAGTATCAGATTTCAATTAAATTTCAATCAAAGAAATTTACAATACAAATAACTTATTTTATACTTATTTTAGTCTTTCTAGAAGAAATCCTGCTCCTTCTTCAAGGAATTGCAGTGTGTCAATAATAGACTGAAACAATAGACTACTTTTCTGAAACATTTACTAGTATAACCTACATTCCTTGTAAGCTGATCTGACCATCCCTAAATGTATTTTATGTGAGGAAAGAATGATATCATACAAATTAAAATATGTTATTGTTAATTTTCTAGGCTTGATTTCAAGAAAGAAACTTACTATTTGATTCTAAAAACCTTATTCACATTGGGTAGGATTCTATTAATACAAAGTATTGACATTTATTAGGTTAATTAATTCAAATAAGGCCATTGATTTTCAATATAATAAGAAATGCTGAAGGATTATTATATTCCAAATATCTTTTCATTTTTATGATACATATTGTACAGTAGAGAATGATCTCTTCACATTAAAGTAACAACTTTATAAGCCTTTTACTAAATCTCGATAATAGATCAGCAAAGGACCCAAACATTCTATAAAGAATGATCATATAAAGTATACACATGAGGACAATCTTTCTATATATAATAAAGATAACTAGTTGGAGCTTGTCAAAATTTTACTACATACTATATTAATAAATAAACTGCAGGCTTAACTTACCTCAATTCCTCAACTCCACAGGGACCCCTCACATGTGAGGTCTTAAGGAAATCTGTGGAAATCTGACTTATATTCAGTGATTGGCTGCTGAAATCTGGGAACTCTTCTGAGGTTAAGCTGTAAAGCTTTTCTGAAGTATCTGAAATATTTTATTTCATGCATTGTCAAAACATAAATTCAAGAAACAAATATACAGCATATGGTGCTGAATGTTTACCCAGAGTAAATTACAGGCAATACAAAGAAGGTCAGCATAGATTTTTAATTATTCCTCAATTTTCTAATGTTTGTGAGGTAAGTTTGATTTGAGATTCCAAATTGGGGCATGGGTAGCAAGTCATTTTTATCATATTGATTTGTAAATATACATTACATTTATAACATGTGTCAAATGTCCTGAGACCTCATAAAATTTCAAAAAAAAAATCAAATGACCCCCTTTAAAGCTACAATATTTTGCAGCCACTCAACCTGTTGGACATTTTGTTATCTTTTTTCTTATAAGAAATAAAAGCTTTACTCCCACACAGTCTAAGGGAAAGATTAGCCTTGGCAAAGTTGCTCTTTCTTTTTTGACTTCCTTGCTTTGTTTGAGTAGATAATAACTGTTCATATTTGAAAGCAGAGAAGCCTTAAATTTTTCTTTTCATGAAGCTGGCTTATGATTTAGCCTAGCTAAGGACAAATACTGCAAGTTAAACAAACAAAGTCTTTAGGCAAATGTATCTTCATATAAACTACCAAAAATTCAAGTATGTAACTAAATATCATTGTATATTAGAAAGGCTACAATGCCTTCTTTTTTCACTGCTGAAATTATAATGAGCCACCTAACTTATACATAAAGTTATACTATGATGACTGTTAAAACTGTCAAAATTACTGGTTGCTATTCTTCCCTTTTTTTTTTTTAGACAGAATTTCGGTCTTGTTGCCTGGGCTGGAGTGCAATGGTGTGATCTTGGCTCACCGCAACCTCCGCCTCCTGGGTTCAAATGATTCTCTTGCCTCAGCCTCCCAACTAGCTGGGATTATAGGCATGTGCCACCACACCCGGCTAATTTTGTATTTTTAGTAGAGACGGGGTTTCTCCATGTTGGTCAGGCTGCTCTTGAACTCCTGACCTCGTGATCTGCCCACCTCGGCCTTCCAAAGCCCTTTACTTTTATGAGAGGACCAAATAAACCTCCTCCTGGTCACAGGAACCAAACATCAACATACATGTGTTCTACAGTGGACTTGACTTTTTTTTTTTTTTTTTTTTTTTTGGTGGTTAGTATCAACTTGACATTTTTGAGCAAATAGAGATTTCCCTACTGAAAGTAAATCAGATTATTCCCACTGAAAAATAGACCTCAATAAATTTACACATGGAAGTGTCCCTAAATTTGTTTAGCCCCTTGACTTTGAAATCATGATGCATGGGTACGTTCAATAAGCTTAGGATTTGGTTCCTGCTCCCACCATATCCTCAGCAATCAGGACTTTACCTGATCTAAATTTAGGGGCTCTATATAAGATTAATTTTGAAAAAGACAAAAGATTTTTTAGTTAAAATTTTTTAAACCTCCTAATTACTTCCATCTTCACTTAGAGATCAGGGAATTATGGGCCCATGAAGAACTAATAACTTGCTGAAAGTCACACGGCCATATAGTGGAAGAGCTGAAACTAGAACTAATCTCTGGTAGCTCACCAATATTGTAAATCACTCTGTTCCAGAATCTAATTCTTTAGCTTTAAGCTATTATCTTCTCTCCTATTTTTCCGTATGGTAAAAGAAGACCCAAGGCACCTTTACATGTCCTAATGAAAGGGAATGCTCCCACAAGAAAGCAGTAAATTCAGGATTTGGAACTGGTAGAATTACAGTACTGAAACCCAACAGCAATGCTTTGATCTAAAGAATACCAGCAGGTGAGATATCCAAACTCTATTATGCATTTGAGCTAATTGAATGAGCATAAAGCTGTTCCGAGTTGTGCAAATAGAATGAGTCTATTTTTCTAGAACTATTTATTCTCAAAATTATATTTCAGAATACCTGTAAAGTTAACAGGAACAAAGGTGATACCACTTGATTTTAGGTAACAGAAAAATCAAGGCAGAGAAAAATAAAACTGCTCATAACAACCCTATTGTAGGTTAGTGTTAAACTCAAAAGGTCAATTGTACACAAATCTGTCTGCTGATTTTTCTAATTCAGCACCAGGTAAGACAGGATTAACATTTATATTAGAAAAGTTACAACTGGCAAGTCAGTTGATTGTTGAGAAATAAATTATAGTTAAACCTTTTCTATCCCTGGAGTAAGAGTACCTTCTCTGATCATTGAGGAATCTCTTTAAAAATAATAGCAATTAGACTAAGGAGAAAAAAAATAGATAAAATATAGAGTTCTAAGGTGCATTTCTAAAACTGAAGTCATTTAAAACACATACATAAAACTATATTCCATAGATAAATAAGCACTTACATGAAATAAAACACTAAAGAAAGAAATATAAAAACTTCAAAGAATGAGAACCAATCAGAGAGGCTATTTCCCAATAAGGAACAACAACAACAACTCTAAAGGACTATCTAGAATAGCTACATATCTACATCCTAATATTAAAGACAGTGTGGGCCGGGCGCGGTGGCTCACGCCTGTAATCCCAGCACTTTGGGAGGCCGAGGCGGGCGGATCACGAGGTCAGGAGATCAAGACCATCCTGGCCCACACAGTGAAACCCCGTCTCTACTAAAAATACAAAAAATTAGCCGGGCATGGTAGCGGACCCGGGAGGCGGAGCTTGCAGTGAGCTGAGATCGCACCACTGCACTCCAGCCTGGGCGACAAAGCCCTATTTCTAACCTATTTCTAACACTTTAGCCTTCCTTAATTTTTATTCTTTCCATCTTCTCTCCCCTCTGCACTATGTCTTGTTTATTTCTCCTTTTCCTATTCTCTCCATGCTTGCATCCCTTTACCTTCACTCTGCCCACACCCTCCCCTTCTTAAGTGGTGATATGGTTTGGATTTGTGTCCCCACCCAAATCTCATGTCAAATTATCATCCCCAGTGTTGAAGGAGGGGTCTAATGAATGGTGACATGATCATGGGAGAAGATTTCCTCCTTGCTGTTCTCATGATAGAGAGTTCTCATGAGATCTGGTTGTGTAAAAGTGTGTAGCACTTCTCATCCACCCCTTCCTCCTGCTCTGGCCATGTGAAGATGTGCCTGCTTCCCCTTCTGCCATGATTATAAGTTTCCTGAGGCCTCCACAGCCATGCTTCCCGTGCACTCTGCAAAACTGAGCCAATTAAACTTCTTTTTTTTTTATAAGTTGTAAGTTTTTTTTATAAGTTATTTCTTATAGCAGTGTAAGAATTAACTAATACAAGTGATTACAAAATTGATTTGAAGTAAAGGTTTCAAATTATTTATGTGGCATTGTTATACAGTGGCAAGACAAAGAAATGTGGGAGTAGCTTTGCCTGGGGTTGTGCCTTGCCTCTGCTATACATTTGGGGGAGACCATGGGCAATTACTGCATTGCCCAGAGCCTCAGTTATTGAATATGAAGAAAGGAAATTAAGAGTAGCATCTGCCCCATCTACTTCACCAAATAGCTGGTAAGATCAAATGGAGCAATATCACATATAAAAGCAACCAGTAATTATTATTACTGATTAAATGGTGTCATATTCCTTTTATTAACTTTTAAATATGTTTTCACTTCTATGTGCACCCAATTTGTTTTCTGCAATTCAAAGACACACTAAAGCAAAAAGACTGTCATTCTATCTCTTTGTAATTTGGCTGCCTTTTCAAGGGTTATCTAGTTAATTTGTGAACTATAAATCCTGATTAGATTAGCACTTTTACAGTTTAATACATTACTTAATGGTCAACCTATGAACAGAGACTCCAGTTACTCAGAAAGCCACTGCCTCACTGTTTTATTTCACTGACAGTATGGCCTATTGTCTAGTATCTGGTGCATTTTTATTATTTCTTATGTAAGAAAAAGTGCTTTCATCTCTTTTACTTGGGTCAGTTAATTATCTGTGAAGTCATACAAACACAAGATTGTTGTGGGAACTTAAAGACCATGAAGATTCTTAAACCACAAATCAGATTGAGTTTGAAACAAATAAATCATTTTTAACTATTGAAGAAGTAAATGCTTTAAAGTGCATTATTACTAATACTTTTTCACAATGTGTATTTCCTAAATTTCTTCAGGCTACAGCAACATCCAAAAACTGACAAAGTGTCTTTATAAGTAAGTTATACCAATATGTTAAGCTCATCAAGGAAGTAGTTATAATGTTATTTATATAAAGCTATTTGTGGAAGGAATAGTAAGTGGCATGAACTACAGCTAACTATAATCCTCAAAGCAATACAGATGATAATTAGTTCTAGAATGGAAACAGCTTTTAGAGTTTATTAAAAATTGGGTTTACCAAGAACATCTTACTGTATGTAGGAAGTGATACGGAAGTACGGCAGGGAAGTGCTGGATAGAGAAAGGCAGGTCCCTGGCTAAGGCTCCACACCACAGACCGAGGTGAGGACAGGCACTCCTGCTTTTGTGCACAAATGTTGCATTTCCCAAGACCACCCTGGCCCACCACATCCCCATCCTGGGCCTATAAAAACCTGAGACACTAGCAGGCAGACACACAGGTGGCCAGATGTTGAGAGCAGCACATCAGCTGAAGAAGACACAAGTGGTTGGACGGCAAGAGGACGTCAAGCGATCATGCTGGCAAAAGAGTACACTGACAGACTCTGGCACACTGGCAGCCCATCAACCAGCGGGTTGAGATGGAGTTTGGCTAGGGCAGTCGGAGGAGAGCTGGGGCCACCAAGCAGCCTAACTCTAGGGGAAAACCATCTCCCTTCTCGCTTCCCCATCAGCGGAGAGCTACTTCCACTCAATAAAACTTTGCACTCATTCTCAAAGACCACGTGTGATCCAATTCTTCTGGGACACCAAGGCAAGAACCCAGGATACAGAAAGTCCTCTGTCCTTGTGACAAGCTAGAGGGTCTAATTGAGCTGGTTAACACAAGCCACCTACAGAGGGCAAACTAAAAGATCACCCTGTAACACATGCCCACCGGGGTTTCCAGAGCTGTAAACATTCACCCCTAGACACTGTCGTTAAGTGTCTATCTGTATGATCCCCGAGAGGTTAGAGCAGTGGGGCACTGAAGAAGCAAGCCACACCCTCATTGCATGCCCTGCAAGGGGGACTAGGGAACCTTTCCCATTTCAAATGGGAGCTCTGCCAGGATCCTGGAAGATGAGTGTGAATGAATGTGAAACTGTCATGTCTGCCTCTCTTCCAAAACCTCCCACTTCTCTCTTTTCTGCGGGTAAGAAGCTCTGTTTCCCTTCAAAACTCTGCCCTTACCAGCCAGTCAAAATTCCCAGACTTCGTATCTTTTCTCTCATATGGTTTGAAATGGCTTTTATCTCTTTCTTTATAATGTTAAGAGTTTTGCTACAGGCTATGGCAATGTTACTAAGTAAAACGAGCATTAGGTTCAGCCATCAAAGGTGCAAATCAGATCAATTTTTCCTAGAGGTGCCATGTATGCCTCCACCTTAACAGCCACAGACACACACAGCTCAGGGCACCTCTTCTTACCCTTTCCCCTCCCAGCTTGGGTCCCTAGGCATGCCAGCAGCAGGCAAAGGCCAAGCCCAACAGCCACGAGTGGGTATGGAACAAAGCTGCGACGGTAACCATGACCCCACAGGGTCAACGAATGGGTGCTTCTCACCCACCACGCTAATGGAACCTTTCTTTCCCTGGCCAAGGAATTCAGCCTAGTCTGAAATCGGGTAAAAATATAAGGATTAGAGGGTTCCAGTTGTACTAAGCAAGGGGTTCTTCCCCCAGAATCTTCCCCCTTTTCCTCTTAAACTGTTTTTCTTTTTTCTTTTTTTTTTTCCTCTTCTAAGTGAGAGGCGTCCCCCACCACCAACTCTGTTTCTAATAGGGAAGTTAACAGAGTAATGGCCCCTGCTGACTGATAACTGCAAATTCGACAGGGCACATTTGAGACACTCTAAACAGATATAAACAGCCTCTAAAATACCTTTTCAGTCCCAAACTGGACTCCAAGCTTCAGGCTGAGGCCCTAGAAAGAAAAACAAGGTTTGAAGGATTCAAAGCCAGGCAACAGGTATAATGTAAATGGGCAGAACCAATTCCTACCAACTAAACCCCCCACCTCACGGAAGGAGGCCATGCTTCATGGCATAAACAGGCTCAGGAAACTCAAGGTTTGCTGAAAGCAGGGAGAAATGGGGGCAAAGGTGAGGGTGGTTAATTCCTATTCTCCAGGTTTTCCCTGCTTCGTGGGTACATACTGCATCAGTATCCATGGCCGGCACCTGCCAAGGTCATCGGGGCTCAGGGATAAGCAGTGGAGAGTGAAAGGAGGACATTCATTTTCTGAGTCTTTGTTGAAAGAAGAAAGGGAATGAGGGACACCTCTATTCACTGTCTTTCAGAATGGGCAACCAGTTATTTTCACCACGCTCAGCCTATACTCCTCTGGAGTGTATTCTGAACCACTAGGACTGCCTTGAGCCTCAGAATCTGGAGGAAAAGTGCCTCTTAGCCCTCTGCAAAAAGGTTTGGCCAAATTATGATTTACAGGAAAGAGTGGCTTGGCCTCAGGAAGGAACCATTCATTTCTATACCATCTGGCATTTGGAACTTTTCTATAGACGTGAGGACAGATGGCCTGAGGCCCCATAAGTGTAGGCTTTCTATAGCTTGCAAGGCAATCCAGACCTTTGCTGACAGAGTAGGATTGCCCTCCTGTTTGGCATCTCAGGGAAGGTTGCAAGGGGCAAGCTCAAGCAACTAAAAATATGAGTCCCAGGGGCAACCCCAGCAGAGGATCCAGCTACCTCTGACCCTGTTACTCGGGGTCCACCCAGACCACCCTATACAGCTTCAGCTTCCCACCTGCCTCCTCCTAAAAATCTTTGCTCTAGACAAACTCCAGTCTCACTCTTAACCCTCCAACAAATGCCCAGTAAATTTGGGCCTAGTAAGGTCCAGGTCCCCTTCTCCGTATAGGACTTAAAGCAAATTAAGGGGGATCTTGGCAAGTTTTCAGATGACCCTGATAGATAAATAGAGGCTTTCCAGAATTATACCCAAATATTTGAACTCTCCTGGAGAGACGTTATGTTACTTTTGAATCAAACCCCAATGGACACTCAGAAGCAGGCTGCTCTGTCAGCAGCGGAGAGATTTGGGGATAAGCTTTCTTTCATATATAGCGTCAGAGAAGGGGATGAATATTATCCAACTGGAAGAGAAGCAATACCAGTAAATAATCCTAAATGGGATCCCAGTGACGAGATGGAAGACTGGAAAAGAAGACACTTTCAGGTGTGCATAATGGAGGGCTTACGTAGGACTAAGACTAAGCCTCTCAATTATATTAAGTTGTCCATGATCGACTAAGGATTTGATGAAAATCCCACTGCCTTCCTGGAAAGGCTAAGAGCGGCCTTGACAAAGCACACCTCTATCTCCTGATTCAGTCGAGAACAGCTAATCCTAAAAGATAAATGTATTACCCAGGTAGCTCCTGACATCAGGAGGAAGTTGCAAAAATGGGCCCTGGGACCAGATAGTACATTAGAGGACCTCCTGAAAGTGGCCAACTTGGTCTTTTATAATAGAGACAGGAGGCCTAAAAAAGCGAGAGGAGATGCAGGAAACAGACAAAAGCTTTGATGACCACCATGTAAGCCCACAAACCCCAAAATTCCCAGGATGTGCCTGCTAACTGCTAAAAGATACGGCAAGAACAGTTATTTCTCTTCCAAAGTTTAACTGCTCCCATAAAACGTTTAATTTCTTTCACCAGGGTGAAACAGCTCAGGGTAGAATGTTGCTGTTAGTATATTTCACTTCTTATCTCTGTAATCTCTGGCACTAAATTCTTTCCTTGTATAATACACATGTTTCACCCATGCATACTTAACCTTATAAAACTTTTTTTTTTTTTTACTCTCAAGCCTAGAAGCCATCAAAATCCAAATGGTCAACCGGAGCCTCGAAAGATGGCTCCCCTTGTCTAGGAACCCTTAGACCGCTAGGAGTCTGACTGCCATTTACCCCAGAACAATGCCCCCTGTCAGCAGGAAGCAGCAAAGACAGGTCACAGTCCATATTCTAAAGGTAGTTAGATGTACATCTTCAGAGGGGAGAATGATACCGGAGGGGTCGAGGAAGTGCTGAGTAGAGAAAGGCAGGTCCCTGGCTAGGGCTCCACTCCCTTGGACCTAGGTGACAACAGGCACTCCTGCTTTCATGCCCAAATGTTGCATTTTCCAAGACCACTCTGGCCCACCATGCTCTCATTCTGGGCCTATAAAAACCCGAGACCCGAGTGGAAAAACACACAGGTAGCCAGATGTCAAGAGCAGTACATCAGCGGAAAAAGACACAAGTAGCTGGATAGCGAGAGGACGTTGAGGCAGCACACTGGCAGAAGAGCACACCGACAGAAACCAGCACACCAGCAGACCACTGACCAGCAGGCCACTGACCAGCAGGATGGGGTGGAGTTTGGCCAGAGCAGTTGGAGGAGAGCTGGGGCTGCTGAGTGGCCCAACTCCAGGGAAATACCATCTCCCTTCTGGCTCCCCCAGTGGTGGTGAGCTACTTCTACTCAATAAAACTTTGCACTCATTCTCCAAGACCACGTGTGATCCGATTCTTCTGGTACCCCAAGGCAAGAACCTGGGATACAGAAAGCCCTCCATCCTTGTGACAAGGTAGAGGGTCTAACTGAGCTGGTTAACACAAGCCACCTATAGATGGCAAACTAAAACGGCATCCTGTAACACACACCCACTGGGGCCTTAGCATCTGTAAACATTCACCCCTAGACACTCTCGTGGAGTTGGAGCCCCACAGTCAGCCTGTCTGTATGCTCCCTAGAGGTTTGAGCAGTGGGGTACTGAAGAAGTGAGCCACACCCCCATCGCACGCCCTGTGAGGGGGACGGGGGATCCTTTCCGGTATCAAAAGCACTACCTATTGGTTTCTTATATAACTTAACAGTTTTTTGAGGACTTACTATGTGCTAGGCACTGTTAATTGTGTGTGTGGAGAGAGAGATAAGTTTTCATAAATATAATATCTCATATATATAATTTTAATTAATGATCAAATAATTTTATTAGATAGGTTCTATTATTATGCTCATCTTTCAATATGGAATCTGATGCAATGACAGATTAGGGAAGTAATTTGCCCAATATTATGAAGCTAGTAAGTGGTGGTTTCGTTTCAAACCACACGCCCTGACAGGGGAACCTGGTTATCAACCAATCTGCTTTCTGTCTCTTGTCTCTCGATTCATCATGATGTTGTGCCTGCAACACACACACACACACACACACACACACACACACATCTGTCCATGCTAGGTACTTCTAGAATGGCACTCTGATATCAGCCACAGCAATCAGAATCCAAGGAGAAACTGTTTCCTTAAACACCTCTGCCCTTCTCAGGTACTTCTAGAATGGCAGTCTGATATCAGCCACAGCAATTTGAATCAAAGGAGAAACTGTTTACCTAATGTAGTTATTTTCTGTCTTATTCTCCCAGCTCCTTAACATGGTTGTTTTTCATAGAACTTAGAAAGAAGAAGTGGATGCATCCTAGAAATAGCAGAAAACAAGTCAGAGAGGTTGCTGTACACAATAATGCAGCTTTCACAGAGATTTGAACATATTTACATTTATATAAGCATCCAGTGGTGTGGAGGTGTATGTCTGAGAGCAAACCTCATGAAGTTTTTCCAGACTGCACCCTGAGTAGTGAAAGGTGAATGGAATTGTTCTGCTCATTGACGCAAAACAGGGTAAAAAGGCCTTGTGCAGAGTCAGTGACTTTTCTACAATGAAGCCTTATGTCACTGTAGCACTTGTCACCTCACTGACTGTTGGGTTGATTAGCCTGATATGTCATCTTCTTCCTTTCTCAGAGTGACCGTATTCATGAACAGTGCACTCATACAAAGCCAATCTTCCCAACAGAAAAAAAAAAAAAAATCCATGTCTGCGTTAAGTGTGAAAGTGGTTGCCTTCTGCTGTTGGACATCAGCAAAGCCCTGGCAGTTCACAGGCTACCAAGTGTGTGCTTGCTTTTGTATATAAAAAGTTATGTGTTCTAGTGAAAATACTGATGTTAGTGTATGAGAAAATAAGTGACACAGGAAAAAACTGAAGCACATAGGAACAAAGATAATTTTTAAAAATGGAAAAGCTGGAATGGCTGAAAAAAAGACTAGCGTTTGTACACTATTGCATTCAATTTGTAAATAATAAAATGTATCAATTTTTAAAATTACAAAGCTCTTTTTAAAATTAAAAACTGTATGTTTGTCCTTTTAGATCCAGTTCAGACTTCACATACTTTATTTCAGAATTGGCCTGTAATGTAACAATTATCTCTAGGAAGATTTATGTTTGATTTTTAATAATTCAAGCAAGGTAAATGAATGATGGGTAAATATGGATTATTGACTTTTTCCTCTAACCCCTATTAAATAAATAGAAAAAGCAGAATAATAAAAATAAAATCATAAAAGGAGCTAAACAAAGGGATACAATTGACATAATAACTTTGAGAAGAGTCAACCAAATAAAATTTATTGAGGTGTGGCTGGGTGTTATTCCAATACACAGTGTGTGCCCAACACACAGACACCAAATGAAGAATAGGAAAGAGACAGTCATAAAAAGAACAGGCTAGTCTCACCAATACCACGTCAATAGGGAGAAAAGTAGGTGAAAAGAAGTAAGGAGGAGACATCTGAAATCCTTATTAAAGCTGGCTAATCATCTATCTGAAAAATCTTAACAGAGACAAGAAAATTGCAAATCTGAAGGTTTCCCCACAGAGACAGCACACAGGAAAACAGGTCAATAGAAATCTGGCATTTAATAAAATCCAGAAAAAGACAAGAAAGCCCAGATCTTTCAACAGAGAAAGCTGAGCTCCCCAGTCCTATCCTCCTCCCCATGCCTTGGAGCTAGCAGGATACAGAAGAGTACAATACAGAACCCGCAAACAGTAGCTCCCCAGAAAAGACTGAGAGAGCTCAGTAAGAGTGAAGAGAATTTCAGGAAGAATTTAGTTTCACTATATCAGAAAAGATGGAAGGTAGGAACAAAGCCACTCACAATAAGCATAGGCAAGTGAAATCCAAAGAAATGACACAACTAGATATATAAACAAACTAGTATCTTTAGCATGTAACGGGTGAAAAAAATAAAAAACATAAAATTTGGTAGAAAACATAGATCAGGACCATAAGATTTTCCACAAGTCCTTTGGCTACAAAAGAAGTAATGAAAGCAAACTTTTTGAAAAGAGCAAAATTAACCTCAAAGATGGAGCAACAACATGACAGGCATCAAAGGAAAACTAATTAAATGGTCACCTGCTCCTGGATTGGATCCTATACCAGAAAAAAACAAGCTGTAACAAACATCAATGGGGTAGTTTTAAAAAACTAAATATGCCATGTGGATTAGAAAATCACATTGTATCTTGTAATGTGAGCTTCCTGATTTTGATCATTGTGCTATGGTTATATAAGAGAAAGCAGTTTTTCTGGGACACACACACTGACATATTTTTTTGTAAAGTGTTACAATGTTTTTAACTTCCTCTCACTGTTCAGAACAAAAGGAGGTACAAAAGGAGGGTGTGTATGTGCATGTGTGTGCACACGTGTGTGTATGCAAATAGGACAAAACATAGCTAGTGAACCGGGTACAGTGTATGTGGGGGAAGAGTTCTTTGTACTATACTTGTATTTTGCAAATTTTCTGTTTTAACTTATATC
The DNA here is from genome assembly GCF_000001405.40 of Homo sapiens. NCBI lineage: Eukaryota > Metazoa > Chordata > Mammalia > Primates > Hominidae > Homo > Homo sapiens. The sequence continues at coordinate 167,254,407 of NC_000003.12, forward strand.
AAAATAGAAAACTACCAAAAAATGTCAAAGAAAAAGTTACAACATCTTTAGAGAATGACTTTTTTAAAAGTCAAGTGATAAAGAGTACACTATAACTAGGTAAAAATTAAAATCCTGACATATAGACAAGCTTGAGATAATGATAGCAAATACAAAGGGAAATTAAAAACTAGCTAAAACAATTGAAGAAATATAAGTAATACTTTTTTAAAGAGACGCCAACATAAAGAAAATAGGTTTCTCAGCAGGAGAAAGCCTAATGGAACAGAAAAGCAATTCAAAGATATAAAAACAGAAAATTTCTTTGAAAATAACGGGTAATGTACTCTACAGACAGAGAGAGAACCCTGTGTTTAAAAAAAATGCTGAATTATTGACACTAAAACAAAATCCTGGACCAGTTACTGACTTTCAAGGATTAAGAAAAATTTCTCCAAGCATTCAGTCAGGAAAGAAGCCTGTCACATGTGTGTGTGTGTGTGAGAGAGAGAGAGAATGAGAGAGAGAGAGAGAAAGGGAGAGAGAGAGACAGAGAATCTAGGAGGCTTCAGATTACTTCACAGCATTCGGAGCCAGAAAATGGCAAATCATTATATACAAGGTTTAAGACAAAGGTGACCAAATGATATTATCCTCGGCCAATTTGCCATCTAAATAGAAATGTAGCAGGTATTCTCAAATATAAAGAAAACTCAGGTAATAAAACTTCTATAAATTCTACCTGCAGGGAAAAATTATATGATAATTAAACTGAACCAAACAAAAGTTTAATGAAAAAAGCTGTGATAAAGGGCTAACTAGCACCATATTCAGGGTCAGACGACAACAGGAAAATGTCTGCTACATACAGAGGAAAGGAAACTGTGACCTACTAAATACATCTAATGTGCCATTCGGCAATAAGACAAAAAACAGACATTATCATGAATGCTATAATAAAACCATCAAGAGATGAAATCAAGATAAAAGGCTCAGGATTGGGAAGTCATAGAAGAAAATGCTGGTACTAAACATTTAATCCATATTGATTTTCACTAAGAAAAAAATAAAAGGAAAACTTTACAAAACAAGAAACTATAACTACAACAAGGGATGTATTCAGTATGATCTAGATTAGCATGTGGTTTTAAAAAATAAACAAATGAGCCCTCATCTTTTATTATAGGGAATTATTACTATCTGAAACTAAAGCATATAGTTAGAAATGGCCTCCATTACTCTTTATTTTTACCTTTTCTCTCAATTTTTAAATTTATTTTTAATTTTTGTGAGTACAAAGTAGGTATATATATTTATGGGGTACATGAGATATTTTGATACAGGCATGCAATGTGTGATAACTAAATCATGAAAAATTTGGAACACATCTCCCCAGGCATTACGCTTTTGTGTTTCAAACAATCCAATTATATTCTCTAGTTATTTTTAAATGTACAATTAAATTATAATTGACTATAGTCTCTGGGTTGTTCTATCTGACACTAAGTCTTATTCATTCTTTCTATTTTCAGTACCCATTAACCATTCCCACCACTCCACCCACACTCCCCACTATACTTCCTAGCCTCTGGTAAGCATTCTTCTATTTTCTATCTCCATGAGTTTAATTGTTTTGATGTTTAGATCCCACAAATAAGTGATAACATGCAAAGTTCGTCTTGCTGTGCCTGGCTTATTTCACTTGACAAAACAATCTCCAGTGCCATCCATGTTGTCACAAATGACAGAATCTTATCCTCTTTTATGATTGAATAATACTTCATTATGTATATGTACCACATTTTCTTTATCCATTCATCTGTTAATGAATACTTAGGTTACATCCAAATCTTGGCCATTGTGAACAGTGCTGTAACAAACATAAGAGGGCAGATATCTCTTGGATATATGGGTTTCTTTTTTTACTTTTTAAATTGTTGTGGGCACATAGTAGGTGTATATATTTATGGGGTACATGAAATGTTTTGATATAGACATGCAATGTGAAATAAGCACATCATGGAGAATGGAGTATCCATCCCTTCAAGCACTTATTATTTGAGTTACAAATAATCCAATAACATTCTTTAAGTTATTTTAAAATGTACAATTAAAGTTATTATTGACTATAGTAACCCTGTTGTGCTATCAAATAGCAGGTCTTATGTATTATTTCTAACTATTTTTTGGACCCATTAACCATCCCACCTCCACCCCACCCCACCCCACCCCACCCCACTACCCTTTCAAGCCTCTGGTAATTATCCTTCTATTTTCTATCTCAATGAGTTCAATTGTTTTGATTTTTAGATCCCACAAATAAGCAAGAACGTGCTATAATTGTCTTTCTGTGCCTAGCTTATTTAACTTAATGTAATGATCTCCAGCTCCATCCAAGTTGCTGCAAATGACTGGATCTCATTCTCTTTTATGGCTGAATGGTACTCCATTGTGTATATGTATCACATTTTATTTTCCATTCATCTGTTGATGGACCCTTAGGTTGCTTCTGAATCTTAGCTATTGTAAACAGTACTGCAACAAACATAAGAATGCAGATATCTCTTCAATATACTGATTTCCTTTCTTTTGGGTATACACCCAGCAGTGGGATTAATGGGTCGTATTGTAGCTCTATTTTTAACTTTTTAAGGAACCTCCAAACTGTTCTCCATAGTGTTTGAACTAACTTATGTTCCCACCAACAGTGTACAAGGGTTCCCTTTTCTCCACATGCTTGCCAGCAGGCTTTATTGCCTGTCTTTTGTATAAAAATTTTATTTGTGGCTATTACAAATGGAATTAGTTTTTTATTTCTTTTTCAGATTGTTCACTGTTGGCATATAGTAATGCTAGTGATTTTTGTATGTTGATTTTGTATCCTGCAACTTACTGAATATGTTTATCAGTTCTAATAGTATTTTGGTGGTCTTCAGGTTTTTCTAAATTTAACATCATTTATCCACAAACAAGGATTATTTAATTTCTTCCTTTCCGATTTGGATGCCCTTTACTTCTTTATCTTTTTTAATTGCTCTAAAACATACAGTACTATGCTGATTAACAGCATAGTTATGTTTCAGGTTTAAGAGGGCAAACTTTTAGGTTCTCCCTATTCAGTTTAATACTAGCTGTGGGTCTATCATAGATGGCTTTTATTATGTTAAGACCTTCTATACCCAGTTTTTTAAAGGTTTTCATCATGGAGGGACGTTAACTTTATCAAATGGTTTTTCAGCATCAATTGAAATGATCATATGGTTATTGTCCTTTATTCTGTTGATATGATGTATCACATTGATTATGGCCATTCTTTCAGGAGGTGGTATCACATTGTGGTTTTGATTTGCATTTACCTGATCATTAGCGATATTGAGCATTTTTTCATGTGTTTGTTGGCCATTTGTGTATCTTCTTTTGAGCATTGTCTATTCATGTCCTTAGCACACTTTTTGAAGGGATTTTTTTCTTTTTTTACTGATTTGTTTGAGTTCATTGTACATTCTGGGTATTAGTCCTTTGTCACATGTATAGATTGTGAAGATTTTCTCCCAGTCTGTGGGATATCTGTTTGCTCTTCTGACTGTTCCTTCTGCTGAGCAAAAACTCTTTAGTTTAATTCGGTCTCAGCTATTTATCTTTGTTTTTATTGCATTTGCTTTTGGGTTCTTGGTCATGAAATGCTTGCCTAAGCCAATGTCTAGAAGGGTTTTTCCAATATCCCCAGTGAGTTTTGATTATGGCTATAATCATAAAACAGTAGATGTTGGCATGGATGCGTTGAACAGGGAACACTTCTACACTGCTGGTGGGAATGTAAACTAGTACAGCCACTATGGAAAACAGTGTGAAGATTCCTTTAAGAACCAAAAGTAGAACTACCATTTGATCCAGAAATCCCACTACTGGGTATCAATCTTCTAGGGTTTTTATAGTTTCCCATCCTAGATTTAAGTTCTTAATCCATTTTGATTTGATTTTTGTATAAGGTGAGAAATGAGGATCTAGTTTTATTCTCCAACATGTGGCTAGCCAATTATCCCAGCACCATTTGTTTAAAAGGGTGACAGTGATAGTTTGCCTTCGTCTTTACTGATTTGGATGCCCTTTGTTTCTTTCTGTTGTCTTATTACTCTGGCTAGGACTTCAGTACTATGTTGAAGAAGAGTGGTAAGAGTAGACATCCTGGTCTTGTTCCACTTCTCAGAGGAAATGCTTTCAACTTTTCCCCAGATGGCTTTTTTACATTAAGGTATGTCCCTTGTTTGCTGATTTTGCCGAGAGTTTTAATCATAAAGGGATGCTGGATTTTGTTGAATGCTTTTTCTGCATCTATTGAAATGATCAGGTGATTTTTGTTTTAATTCTGTGTATGTGGTGCATCACATTTATTGACTTGATTATGGCAAACCATCCCTCCATCCCTGGTATAAAATCTATTTGATCAAGGTGGATTATCTTTTTGATATATTGTTGGATTTGATTAGCTAGTATTTTGTTGAGGATTTTAGCATCTATGTTCATCAAGGATATCAGTCTGTAGTTTTCTTTTTTGGTTATGTCCTTTCCTGGTTTTGGTATTAGGGTGATGCTGGCTTCATAGAATGAACTAGAGAGGGTTGCTTCTTTCTCTATCTTGTGGAAGAGTGGCAAAAGGATTGGTACCAATTCTTCTTCAAATGTCTGGTAGAATTCTGCTGTGAATCCGTCTGGTCATGGACCCTTTTTTTTGATAATTTTTAAATTACCATTTCAATCTCACTGCTTGTTATTGATCTGTTCAGGGTATCTAATTCTTCCTGATTTAAGCTAAGAGGGTTATATTTTTCCAGGAATTTATCCATGTATTCTAGGTTTTCTAGTTTATGCGGGTAAAGCTGTTCTTAGCAGCCTTGAATGATCTTTTGTATTTCAGTGGTGTCAGTTGTAATATCTCCTGTTTCATTTCTTAGTGAGGTTATTTGGATTTTCTCTCTTCTTTTCTTGGTTAATGTTGTTAATGGTCTATCAATTTTATTTATCTTTTCGAAGAACCACCTGTTTGTTTCATTTATCTTTTGTATTTTGTTCATTTGTTTCAATTTCATTTCGTTCTGCTCTGATCTTGGTTATTTCCTTTCTTCTGCTGGGTTTGGGTTTGGTTTGTTCCTGTTTCCTTAGTTCCTTGAGGTGTGACCTTAGAATGTCAGTTTGTGCTCTTTCAGTCTTTTTGATATAGGCGTTCAGGGCTATGAACTTTCCTCTTAGCACCACCTTTGCCTTACCCCAGAGGTTTTGATACGTTGTGTCATTATTGTCATTCAGTTTGAAGAATTTTTAAATTTCTACCTTGATTTCATTTTTAATCCAGTGCTCACTCAGGAGCAGTTATTTAATTTTCATGTATTTGTATGGTTTTGAAGATTGCTTTTGGAGTTGATTTCCAGTTTTATTCCACTGTGGTCAGAGAGTGCTTGATATAATTTCAATTTTTAAAAAATTTATTGAGGCTCATTTTATGGCCTATTTTGCTTTTTAACTTGTATTTTTGTTTTATAAGTCCTGTGTGAATTAAGCTTTAAACAGGTTCTGTTTTGATGTGTTTCTAGGGTTTGTTTCAAGATTTAGAGCTCTTTTTAGCAGTTCTTATAGTGGTGGCTTGGTAATGGTGAATTCTCTCAGCATTTGTTTGTCTGAAAAAGATTGTATCTTTCCTTCATATATGATGCTTAGTTTCACTGGATACAAAATTCTTGTCTGGTAATTGTTTTGTTTGAGAAGGCTGAAGATAGGGCCCCAATCCCTTCTAGCTTATAGGGTTTCTGCTGAGAAATCTGCTGTTAATCTGATAGGTTTTCCTTTATAGGTTACCTGGTGCTTCTGTCTTACAGCTCTTAAGATTCTTCCCTTTGTCTCAACTTTGGATAACCTCATGGAAATGTACCTAGGTGAAGATCTTTTTGCAGTGAATTTCCCAGGTGTTCTTTCTGCTTCTTGTATTTGGATGTCTAGGTCTCTAGGAAGGCCGGGAAGTTTTCCTCGATTATTCCCCAAACACATTTTTCAAGCTCTTAGAATTCTCTTCTTCCTCAGAACACCAATTATTCTTAGGTTTAGTTGTTTAACATAATCTCAGACTTCTTGGAGGCTTTGTTCATATTTTCTTATTCTTTTTGCTTTGTCTTTGTTGGATTGGGTTAATTTAAAGACCTTGTCTTTGAGCTTCAAATTTCTTCTACTTGTTCAACTCTATTGCTGAGATTTTCCAGAGGATTTTGCATTTCTAAAAGTGTGTCCAAAGTTTTCTGAGTTTTTTATTGTTTTGTCTTTAAGCTATCTACCTCCTTGAATATTTCTCCCTTCACTTCTTGTATCATATTTTGAATTTCCTTGCATTAGGCTTCGCATTTCTCTGGTTCCTCCCTGATTAGCTTAATAACTGATCCCCTGAATTCTTTTTCAGGTAAATCAGGGATTTCTTCTTGGCTTGGATCAATTGCTGGTGAGCATGTGTGTTTTCTGGGGGGTGTTGAAGAGCCTTGTTTTCTCATATTACCAGGGAAGGTTTTCTGGTTCCTTCTCATTTGGGTAGGCTCTGTCAGAGGGAAGGTCTAGGGCTAAAGCCTGTTGTTCAGATTCTTTTGTCCCACAGGGTGTTCCCTTGATGTAGTACTCTCCCCCTATTCCTATGGATGTGGATTCCTCTGAGCTGAACTGCAGTGATTGTTGTCTCTCTTCCGGGTCTAGCCACCCAGAGAGTCTACCTGGCTCTGGACTGGTACTGGGTGTTGCCTGCCCAGCATCCTATGATGTGAACCATCTATGGGTCTCTCAGCCATGGATACCAGCACCTGTTCCAGTGGAGGTGGCGGAGGGGTGCAATGGACTCTGTGAGGTTCTTAGCTTTGGTGGTTTAATGCTCTATTTTTGTACTGGTTGGCCTCCTGCCAGGAGGTGGTGCTTTCCAGAGATCATCAGGTGTGGTAGTATGGGGGAGGAACTGGCGGTGGTCGGGGCCCTAGAACACCCAAGATTATATGCCATTTGTCTTCCACTACTAGGGTGGGTAGGAAAGGACCATCAGGTGGGGGTGGGGCTAGGCGTGTCTGAGCTCAGACTGTCCTTGGGCAGGTCTTGCTGCAGCTGCTGTGGGGAATGGGAGTGAGGGTCTGAGTTCACTGGAGTTGTGTACCTAGAAGGATTATGGCTGCCTCTGCTGAGTCATGCAGGTTGTCAGGGAAGTGGGAGAAAGCCAGCAGTCACAAGCCTCATCCAGCTCCCACACAAACTGAAGGGCCTGTCTCACTCCCACCATGCCCCACCACCCAACAGCCCTCACACCCAGATCATTTCCAGGTGTGGAGCTATATGGGTTTGAAAACTTGTCCCAGGCTACCCGCCTCCCAACTGCAAAAAAAAAAAAAAAAAAAAAAAAGTGGGGGCGGGGGCTTGGTTCTTCCCCTACCTGTGGAGTCTGCACACCAGATTTGCACCCTCCCCCAAATTCTGGACAGAAGGCTTCCCACCCCAATCAAATGGTTACAAAGTTCAGCTAGAGATTTGCTTATCACTGTGTAGTTTTACCCCTTGCTCTTTTGGATCCCTGTGGTGCAGGCAGGAATGGCCTGGTAGGTGACCCAACAAGCTCCCAGGGCCTTTCTGCTTCTTCCTCTACCCCTGTATTTTGCTCGGCTCTCCAAATTAACTCAGCTCCAGGTAAAGTCGGAAACTTCTCACGCAAACAGAACTTCAGCTTTCAGCTTCTCCAGTGGGGATGTATGTTTGGAAGAGGGGGTCTCTCTTTCCCACTTCAACAGTTGGGGCACTCAGTTTTTGTGGGTCGGGGGGGGCGTCTCCCAGGTCCTGCAGGAGCAGTCTGCTTTCTTCAGAGGGTCTGTGGGTCCTCTCAGGATTTCTGGTTTGCTCTTGCAGTCCATCTGGAACTAAAATTCACAATGCGAGCCAGCCACTGCCTGTTGCTCTTTCTGGAGCTGCAATCTAGTCCTGCCTCCAGTCTGCCATAATCTCCCGCATTCTCTAACCGTTTTTGTTGGAACACTTTCAATAGGATTGGTATAAGTTCTTCTTTAAATGTTTAGTAGAATTCATCAGTGAAACCATCAGGTTCTGGGCTTCTTTATATTGGGAGACATTTTTGGTTTGTTTGTTTGTTTTGAGATGGGGTTTCACTCTTGTTGCCCAGGCTGGAGTGGAAAGGTACAGTTTCAGCTCACTGCAACCTCTCCCTAGGAGACATTTTTATTATGGCTTCAATCTCATTGTTATTGGTATGTTCAGGTTTTGGACTTCTTCGTGGTTCAATCTTGGCAGGTTGTATATGCCTAGGCATTTATCCATTTCTTCTAGATTTTCCAGTTTATTGTTATATAATTGCCATAGTAGCCACTAATGATCCTCTGAATTTCTGAAGTATCAGTTGTAATGTCTTCTTTTTCATCACTGATTTTATCTATTTGGCTCTTCTCTCATTTTTCCTTAATCTGGTTAAAGGTTTGTCAATTTTCTTTATCTTTTCAAGAAACCAACTTTTTGTTTCATTGATCTTTTGTGTTGTTTTCTTCCATTCAAATTCATTTATTTCTGTTCTGATCATTAGTATTTCTTTTCTTCCACTAATTTGAGGTTTGGTTTGTGCTTGCTTTTCTAGTTCTTTTTTTTTTTTTTTTTTTTGAGATGGAGTCTAGTTCTGTTGCCCAGGCTTGAGTGCAGTGATGTAATCTCAGCTCACTGCAACCTTCACCTCCTGGCTCAAGCAATTCTCCTGCCTCAGCCTCCCAAGTACCTGGGATTACAGGCACGCACCACTGCGCCCAACTAATTTTTGTACTTTTAGTAGAGACGGGGTTTCACCTGCCTCAGCCTCCCAAAGTGCTGGGATTACAGGCATGAGCTATGGTGCCTGTCCTCTGGTTCTTTAAGATACAGGTTTTATTTATTTGAAGTTATTTTGTTTTTGTTTTTATTTCATGTAGGCACATATTGCTACAATTTCTCTCCTACTGCTTTCATTGTATCCTATAGGTTTTGGTATATGGTATTTACATTATCATTTGTTTCAAGAAATTTTTCCATTTCCTTCTTAATTTATACATTGATACACTGGTCATTTGGGAGCATACTGTTTAATTTACATGTGTTTTCCAAAATTTCTCTTGTTACTGATTTATAGTTTTATTTCACTGTGGTCAGAGAATATTCTTGACATTATTTCCAATTTTTGGATATTTTATGACTTGTTTTGTTACCTAACACATGGTCTATCTTTGAGAATAATCCATGTGCAGAGGAGAAGAATATGTATTCTGCAGCTGTTGGATGAAATGTTCTGTAAATATCTATTAGGTCCAGTTGTTCTATAGTGCATATTAAGTCTAGTGTTTCTTCATTGATTTTCTGTCTTCAAGATCTGCCCAATGCAGAAAGTGGAGTGTTGAAGTCTCCAGCTATTATTGTATTGAGGTCTATCTCTCTCTTTAGTTCTAATAATATTTGCGTTATATATCTGGGTACTCCAGTGTTGGTATGTATATATTTGTCACCATTATACCCTCTTGCTGAATTGACCCCTTTATCATTATATAATGACCTTCTTCTTACAGTTTTTGTCTTGAAATCTATTGTGTCTGATAAAGTATAGCTACTCCTGCTCTTTTTTGGTTTCCATTGTCATAGAATATCTTTTTTCCATTCCTTTATTTTCAGTTCATGTGTATCTTTCAGGTAAAGTAAGTTTCTTATAGGCAACACATCATTGGGCTTTATTTTTCCATCCATTCAGCCATTCTGTCTTTTAATTGGAGAGTTTAGTTCATTTACATTCAATGTTGTTATTGATAAGGACTTACTCCTGCCATTTCATTATTTGTTTTCTGGTTGTTTTGTAGTCTTCTCTTCTGTCTTTCCTTCCTTCCTCTCTTCCTTTTAGTGAAGGTGATTTTCTCTGCTGGTATGCTTTAATTTACGCTTTTTATTTTTTTATATCTTTTGTATGTTTTTCAATTTGATGTTCCCATGAGACTTGCAAGTAATATGTTATAACCCATCATTTTAAACTGATGGCAACTTAACACTGATTACATAAACAAAGAAATGCACAACATGAAAACTAATAAAAACTCTATACTTTAAACTATGAACCTGCTTTTTAACTTTTTGTTGTTTCTCTTTATGTCTTACTGTACTGTCTGTGTCTTGAAAAGTTGTTATAGTTACTATTTTTGGTTGATTCATCATTTAGTCTTTCTACTTAAGTCAGGAAAAGTTTACACACCACCATTACAGTGTTATACTATTCTGTGCTTTTTTCTGTGTTTATACCAGTGAGCTTTATACTTTCACAGTCAACAATCTCAGCAGTTTACCTGAGGTTCTATTCTACTGCAGCTAAGTTGGCACTCAGACCACAAGACAAAGTCCTTCCCACTCTTCTCTTCCCTTTCTATAGGCAGAGGTCTCTGTGGCCTTGACCACCCCTAGTCCATGGGGATTTCTACTCGGCCACCACCAATGTTTGCCTAAAGCCCACGGGCTCTTCCATCGGCTTATGATGAATGCTGTCAGGCCTGGGACTCACCCTTCAGGATACTGGGCTCCCATCTGGCCCATGCCAGGCCAAGTCTAGAAATACTGTTCAAGAATCTAGGTCTGGACTTCAGGTCCCCACGAACCTGCTTGTTGCTCTATTCCACTGTGGCCAAGCTGGTAGCCAGGGTACAAGACAAAGTCCCCTTTACTTTTCCCTCTGCTTTGCAAAATGCAATTTTTCATCATTTTCATTGTAGTTGCCACAGCTGAGAATGTGCTGGGTCTCCCCTGAAGCCAGCACATCTTAGAGTCCAAGGCCTGTGGTGTACTCCCTTGGTATCACTGGAGATTATTCAGGGTCTGAGGGCTCTTCAGTTAGCAGGTGATGAATCCTGCCAGGACTGGGTTCTCGTCCCTTCAAGGCAGCAGATTCACTTTTGGCTCAGGTTGTGTCAAGAAATATCATCTAGGAGCTAGGACCTGAAATGGGGGGCTCACAACTCTGTTCAGTGCCCTCTCCTACTGTGGCTGAGCTGGTAGCCAAGAAGCAAGACAAAGCCCTCCTTACTCTTCACTCTCTTTCATTATGCAGAAGGAAGGAGTCACTTTTGTTGCTATGAGCTGCATAGCCTGGGGTTGGGGGAGGGATGGTGCAAGCTCTCCCTTAGCTGTGCCAGGTGGTGTCTCTCTAGGTCATGTGCCATGCTTGTTCACTGACTCTAAGCCCAGCCTAGCACTAGCTGCTGCCTACAAATTGTAGTCCTTGTGTCCTAGATTGCCTTTCAAGTTTACCTATGACCCCCAGGCACTTCAGCTCAATGTGGCATGGCTTCCCAAGGAAGTCAAGTTCTGACCGCTGGAATGGATGATTCCCCTCTGGAATGTGGCTGGTCCAAATGCTTCCTCCATGCATGGGCACTGGCTGAGCCCAGCACAGCTTTATTCTCTGCTGTGACCAGGTAGCACTGAGTTGAATGTGAAGTCCTCTAGTTGATGTGCTCTCCCTCCCCAGAGAGCACAGATTCTCTCTCCACACTCCAGGGTTGCTGCCAGGAGGTGGGGGAAGGGTGGCATTGGTAATTCAGTATGTCTCTCTTGCCCTTTTCAATACCTCTTTCCACAACATGAAGTTAAAACCAGGTACTGTGATTACTCACCTGAGTTTTGGTTCCTGCCACGGTGCTTTCCTATGTGTAGACAGTTGTTAAAATTTGGTGTTCCAGTGTCGGGGAGGATGGGTAAATGAATGATGTAGGCTTCTGTTTTGCCATGTTTCTCCTCCCCTTTTTTCTCAACTTTTGAAGGTATATTTGTAAAAATAATGGATTAAACCATATAAAGTTGCCAATATTCTACTTTTTTTGGTCTACAAAAGGGTAATTTCGTACAGTTTGTAAGATACAATGAATCTTTGTGAGTCTCTCTTCAAAAGGTTTAGCCTGTTAACTTCCTTACCCTTTGTTCTCCAACTTAACTTTCTTGTTTCTCCTTGCCAAAAGTTACTATAAACAGCTTACCCCCTTCCCGTCAGTTCTAATCAATAACTCACATCTCTTCCCTTGGTTACCTGTACCCATTTTTCCCTTGAAACTGCACGTCTCACAAGCTCCACCACTGTACCTCACATCCCCCTCCCTTCCATATTTAGAAAAATATTTACAAGTAGCCAATTGGGTCAGCTCAGATTTTGCGGTCCAACCCCAGCCCACGGGGGAAGAACACAGAAATAGGGATGACGTTAAGGGTATAAAAAACTCCCGGTCCCCTTTGTTCAGTGTGCACTTGCAATCTTGATTGACGTGAGTGGCACCCTTTTGCAAAAGTAAATTGCCTTGCTGAGGAAACTAAATTTATATTCGAGTGCTGTTTCTTTTGAGGCATCGGAAATTCATTTATAACAATTTGGTGGCTCGTATGGGGAGCCCATTCTTCTCTGGGGAGGGATTTCCGGTCCTTTCCCGTGAGAAGGCACGCCCCGCCACCTCATTGCAGTGGCTTCAGGTTGAGGAATCGAGACCCACCCAGTGTGATGAATAAACCCGGCCTCTCAGCAACCCGGGAAAGGAACAAGCCGGCAGCTTGGGAAAATGGGGCTCACATACTGCAGCGACCAGGTAAACTCTGTGCACAAACCAAGGTAAGAAAAGTCACAGGGGCGACAAAGTATTTCCTTGGAAGTTGAAAGTGTGTGAATGGTAACAATTACCACTGCTGTGCAGAGTAAGTCCAATCTGCGGTTCCACGGTCACCTCATATGGCTTAGGGTGGCCCTTTGGGGGTCCCGTCAGGGGTTTATACTGGCCCACCATCCATGATAAGAGGGACCTGAAATATTTCTGCAAGGGAAGCATCCAGAGTGGACGAAGCTAAAGAAGGGTACAAGGAACCTTCAGCAGGTAGGGCTAAAGGATAGGCAAGAGATTCCTCATACAAGGGAATTGAGCGTTAATAAGCCTCCAGGGAAGGATAGGCAAGAAATTTCTAATATGAGAAATTGAGCCTAACTAGGACCCAACATGGGAAATACCCCAAGTATTATGAGAAGTGAAAAGGATAAAGATAGCAATAAATATATTCCCCCAGATAGTCCCCTAGGTCTCATGTTAAAATATTGGAAAGGTATTGAGAGAACTAAACATAAGAAAAAGCAACAAATGATAAAATATTGCTGTTTTGTTTGGACCCAGGGTCCACTCCTCAAGCCCTCAATCTTCTGGCCAGTTTGGGTCAAATGAGGATGTAATGTATCAACTCCTAATTCAACATGTAAATGATAAAAGTTCAGTGTTCTCAAGAGAAACTGGACTATGCTCTTTGTTAGAGACAGGGACCTGTTCTCCTCTATCCCTTAAAAACAACTAGGGAAAAGCCCGATCTAGCATCCGACAATGAAGACTCAAAAAACCTGGTTTCCATGGCTAAGGACTCCAGCGCATGGGATCCCCTAGACCACCTTCCCCCACTCATTGCCCCCAATCCTTCCCCTCAGGCAGCTGCTGCTGCCCTGGATCCTGCCCCAGATCCTTCTTCTCCTTACGTTATTCCTCCTCCTTATAATCCTGATTCTTGGGAATCATCATGCCATAAACCTGTTCCCTCTCAGCCTAAGTGCCCCTCCCTGAAGGAACTCCAACATGAAGTAGAACAATGTAAAAGAGATATCCAAAATTTCTCATTTCCCTCCACATCTATGGAGTCAGCTCTGACTCTCTTCCGCTTGAGAGAGGTACCACAAGGAGGAGGTGCTATTGGCTTTGTAAGTGCTCCCCTAACTAGTTCACAAGTCTGGAATTTAAAGAAGGAACTTAAGCCATTATTAGATGACCCTTATGGGTTAGCAGATCAAGTTGATCAATCCCTGGGACCTCAGTTACACACCTGGGTTGAGTTAATGTCCATTTTAGGCATTCTCTTCTCGGGGGAAGAAAGAGGGATGATCAGTAGGGCTGCTATGGTAATTTGGGAGCGTGAACACCCTCCCAGTCAAGACGTTCCTACCGCAGATCAAAAGCTTCCTGGCCAAGACCCCTGGTGGGACAATAATAACCCAGCTCACTTGGAAAATATACAAGACCTAAGGGAGATGATAATAAAGAGAATTAGGGAATCAGTACCCTGAACCCACAACCTCTCTAAAGCACTTGATATACAACAGGAAAAAGATGAGGGGCCTATGAAATTTCTAAACAGATTGAAGGACCAAACGAGACAATATTCAGGCCTAAACTTAGAAGACCCCCTTGGACAAGGAATGTTAAAACTCCACTTTGTCACTAAGAGTTGGCCAGATATTTCAAAGAAGATACAAAAATTAGAAAATTGGGAAGACCGACCTCTGAGTGAACTTCTCAGAGAAGATCAATAAGTATATGTTAGAAGAGATGAAGAGAAACAAAAACAAAGGGCAAAACTTGGTGGAACCAAATCCACATACTTCTAAACAAAGCTTCCAGGGGGCCGGAAACTATACCAGGTCCAGACCCCCGTTTAAAAGAACCAAGCCTCCATCTAGAGGACCCAGACCCTCATCTACCAGACCCTCTAAAGAGTATGGGGGAACAACGTTGCAAAGTCCTGGAGCTGGGAGAGAAGAAGGACAAGAGAGGTGTTACAGATGTGGAAGGGCAGGCCACTTCAAAAGAGAATGTCCCAAATTACAAAGGGAGAGACAAGCCCTTTCCCTCATTACCTCTGAGGAGGAGTAGGGGGCTCAGGGGCTCTGTCTCTTTTACTTCAAGTCCCACCAGAAGCCCTTGATACATTTAGAAGTGGGACCCAATCATGAGCTTATCACCTTTCTAGTCGATTCAGGGGCCGCTCGCTCCTCTGTTTCCCTCTATCTGACATTGCCTGCTCTTCAGAAGACCTTTGAGTCTCTGGGATAAAAGTGGAAGGGTTTAAAGCAAAAGTCTTAGAAAGTACAGAAGTTAAATTCTAAGATTGATTGACTCATATCCAATTTTTATTGATCCCTGAGGCAGGAACTAACTTATTAGGAAGAGAATTAATGTTGAAGTTAGGCATAGTCTTATAAGTTAGTCTAAAAGGATTCCTTGCCTCATTAAATTTACTCACCACCACAGATGAGAAATGTATTCACTCGTTGTGAAGGAAACCAAGGAAAACTTCAGATTCCCACAATCCACATCAAGCTAAAAACCCCAGAGGAAGTGGTGAGGAGGAAGTAATTCTCTATTCCTTCAGAAGGACAGATAGGGTTAAAGCCCATAATTGAAAGTGTCATGAAAGATGGGCTTCTTGAGCCTTGTATGTCTCTTTATAACACCCCAATACTGCCCGTCAAGAAATCAGATGGGTCATACCGGTTAGTACAAAATCTTAGAGCTATCAACCAAATAGTACCAACTATTCACCCTGTTGTCCCTAACCCTTACACTATTCTCAGTAAAATTCCATATATCCATCAATGGATTACTGTAACAGACTCAAAGCATGCTTTCTGGGCATGTCCCCTAGCTGAAGATAGCTGAGGCACATTCACTTTTAAGTGGGAAGACACCCAGTCAGGGTAAAAACAACAGTATCAGCAGACAGTTTTGCCCCAAGGGTTTGCAGACTCACCCAACCTCTTTAGTCAGATTTTAGAACAAGTGCTAGGAAAGGTTTCTGTTCCAAAGCATACATGCATGCTCCAATATGTTGATGATATCCTCATATCAGGAGAGGATGTGGAAAAAGTAACCAGTTTTTCCATACATATCCTTGATCATCTACATTCTGAGGGGCTACAAGTCTCAAAGAAAAAGCTTCAGTATGCAGAACCTGAGGTCAAATATTTAGGCCATTTCGTAAGTGCAGGCAAGTGGAGAATAGTGCCGGAGCAAGTTGAAGGCATCGTGTATTTACCCTTGCCTCAAACTAAGCATGAGCTCAGAAAATTTCTAGGATTAGTTGGATACTGCCGCTTATGGATTGACTCATATGCCTTACACAGTAAGCTGCTATACCAGAAGCCTACTCCAGAAAAACCTGACCATCTCCTGTGGACTTCTGAGGAAGTCAACCAAATTGAGGAATTAAAAGAAAGGCTTATGACTGCCCTAGTTTTAGCTTCGCCTTCTCTAGAAAAGCCCTTTCACCTTTTTGTCAGTGTAAATAATGGAGTGGCTATAGGAGTGCTTACCCAAGAGCACAGTGGCTGCCGGCAGCCTGTAGCCTTCTTATCAAAGGTTTTAGACCCAGTCACTTGTGGATGGCCTCAATGCATCCACTCTGTTGCTGCTATGGCAATATTAGTTGAAGAAAGCAGAAAGTTAACTTTAGGGGTAAAGTTGACTGCAAGCACACCCCACGAAGTTAGAGCAATACTAAATCAAAAAGCTGGGAGGTGGCTTACTGACTCCAGAATCCTGAAATATGAAGTTATTTTGCTGGAAAAAGATGATTTAACCTTAACTACTGATAATTCACTCAACCCAGCAGGTTTCTTAACAGGAGATCCAACTCTAAACAGGGAGCACCTATGTCTCAATTTAATTGACTACCAAAGGTCAGACCAGACCTAGGGGATACCACCTTCAAAACAGGATGACACTTATTCATAGATGGTTCCTCCTGGGTGATTGAGGGAAAAAGACACAATGGGTATTCAGTAATTGATGGGGAAACTCTTGAAGAAATAGAGTCAGGCAAATTGCCTAATAATTGGTCTGCCCAAACTTGTGAGTTGTTTGCACTCATCCAAGCTTTAAAGTAATTGCAGGAAGGAACCATCCATATTGATTCTAAATATGCCTTTGGGGTGGCCCATACATTTGGAAAAATTTGGACTAAACAAGGTCTTATTAATAGCAAAAGCCAAGACCTTGTTCACAAGGAGTTAATCACCCAAGTATTAGATAATCTTCAGTTTCCTGAAGAAATAGCTATTGTTCATGTTTCCAGACAACAGAAAAGCCTTTCTTTTGAAAGCTAGGGAAACAACTTAGCAGATCAGATAGCCAAGCAGGCTGCCGTTTCATCTGGAACACCTGTCTTTCACTTAACCCCTTGTCTTCCTCTACTGCAGTCCCTGTCTTCTCAGCCGTGGAAAAAGAAAAATTAATAAAAATAGGGGCCAAAGAAAACTCAGAAGGAAAATGGGTATTACCAGACCAAAGGGAAATGCTATCCAAACCTCTCCTGAGAGAAATCCTGCCTCACTTGCATCAAGGGACCCACTGGGGACCCAAAGCCATGTGTGACGTAGTTCTCAGAGTTCATGGGTGTATAGGAATTTATACCTTGGCCAAACAAGTCATGGACAGTTGCTTAATATGTAAAAAAAACCCAACAAACAAGTTATAAAGAAATCTCCCTTGGTGGGGAGGAATCCAGGGCTAAGACCATTCCAAAGTATTCAGAGTGACTACACGGAAATGCCCCCAGTTGCTCATCTAAAGTATTTGTTATTAATAGTAGATCACCTCACTCACTGGATCGAAGCTATTCCCTTTTCAAATGCAACGGCCAATAATGTAGTAAAAGCACTAATTGAAAATACAGTGCCTAGATTGGGACTAACAGAGAACACTGACTCAGACAATGGAACCCATTTCACAGCACACATCATTAAAAAGTTGTCCCAAGACCTAGACATTAAATGGGAATATCATACACCTTGGCATCCATCTTCATCAGGGAGAGTAGAAAGGATGAATCAAACTTTAAAAAATCACTTAACCAAATTAGTTCTAGAGACTCAGTTACCATGGACCAAATGTCTTCCTATTTATTGCCCTGTTAAGAATCCAAACTGCACCTCAGAAGGATATAGGCCTTTCTCCTTATGAAATGCCCTATGGACTGCCCTATTTACACTCCACTACCTATATCCCTACGTTTGAGACAAAAGATCAATTCCTCAGGAATTACATATTTGGTCTCTCCTTTACCTTCTCTTCTCTTAAAGCCAAAGGTCTCATGGTACAGGCACCACTCCTAGAGTTCCTGGTCCATTAGCATCAGCCCAGGGATCATATCCTCATCAAAAGCTGGAAAGAATGCAAACTTGAGCCAGCCTGGGAAGGACCCTATCTAGTGCTCCTGACCACTGAACTGCAGTCCGGACAGCAGAGACTTGACACTTGAGTCAAGAAAGCACCGTCCACCCCGAAGTCATGGGCCATTATTCCAGGGGAAAACCCCCTCAAACTAAAGCTAAGAAAAATTTAACTCTCTTCCATTCTTCTTTTCACCTTCCAATGCTGACCACCTTGTTATTAATTAACTAAATCAAACACACCCCAAGTTATTACATTTGACGCTTGTCTAGTCATACCCTGTAGAGATCTCCAAAGTCAGAGGCAACTCTCAGCCTCAGAAAAGTATCTCTGCCCCTTTAAAGTGAAAGGCGCCCCCTACCAAGACTCTTGTTCCTTAACAAATGTAGGAAAACAAGTCTGTCATAGCTGGAATGATGTCCTGTGGAAAACCGAATATCAAGGCTGGACCTCATCAGCGAGTGGTTGTATATCCTTAAAACCATATATTCGTTTTACTAAGGAGAGCACCTCCCCCAGTTGCCAGTGTAACCAATGTAATCCCATATACATTTCTATTCTCATTCCCACCTCTACTGATCCTAAACCTACTTTAAGTCGCTTCTATAACATAGGAGCCAACTTGGCTGCACAGACCTCATAGGGTCTTTTGAAATGCGTTTTATTAATCCTTCATTCTCTTCACCCCCTTCCTTCTCTTCTCCTTCTGAGCTTTCTTCTAATCAGACTGCCATCTCTTCTATACCTAATGATAATACTAAAGTAGATATTGTAGCAGTAGATGGTCTAAGGCAAACTTTAGAAATTGAAACAGGATATCAAGATGTAAACGCCTGGTTGGAATGGATCAAATATTCTGTCTCACATTAAATAAAAGCAATTGTTATGCTCGTGCACATGGCTGGCCAGAGGCCCAGATCATCCCCTTTCCACTCAGATGGTCTCCCAGTCAACTGGGCATGGGCTGCATGGTAGCTCTTTTCTAAGATTCCATGGCTTGGGGCAACAAATTGTGGCAAGCTCTCTCTCTGCTATATCCCAAAGTGCAACACCCTGTGGGTCAGCCCCCAAGGGCCATTCAGCTTCGGTCTTCTGCTCATTTCACCTCGTGTCTCTCATGACAGGGGGAGAACTTAGTGTTCCTTGGCAGCTTAGCAGGACGCAGTGAGCTTAAGCCTTTGCAGGAGCTTACCCATCAGTCGCCCCTTAGTCATCCTCAAGCAGATGTATGGTGGTGTTATGGTGGACCCTTACTGGACACTCTGCCAGGTAACTGGAGCGGTACTTGTGCTCTTGTCCAATTGGCTATCCCTTTCACCCTGGCAGTTCATCAACCAGAAAAAGAAAAAACACAACGCCACAAAATAAAAGAAGCCCCTTATGGGTCTTTTGACTCTGACGTTTATTTAGATGCAATTGGAGTCCCACAGGGGGTACCTGATAGATTCAAAGCCTGAGATCAAATAGCTGCAGGATTTGAATCATTATTTCCATGGGTAACTATTAATAAAAATGTAGATTGGATAAATTATATCTACTATAATCAGCAATGATTTATTAATTACACTAGAAATGCTGTCAAAGGAATAGTTGAGCAATTAGGACCTACTAGCCAAATGGCTTGGGAAAACAGAATGGCCCTAGACATGACGTTAGCTGAAAAAGGTGGAGTTTGTATTATGATCAAAACCCAATGTTGTACCTTTATCCCAAACAATACTGCCCCCGACAGAAGCATAACAAAGGCCTTACAGAGACTGACTGCTTTGTCCAATGAACTAGCTAAAAATTCTGGAATTGATAGCCCTCTTTCAGGATGGCTAGAAAGATGATTTGGTAAATGGAAAGGAGTCATGGCCCCAATCTTCACTTCTCTTGCAGTCATGATAGGTGTGCTTATTCTTGTTAGGTGTTGCATCATACCATGCATCCGTGGGCTAGTACAAAAGCTTATAAAGACAACACTCACTAAAACCTCCCTTAGTTCTCCTCCACCCTATTCAGATAAGCTTTTCCTTTTAGAAGACCAAGTTGAACAGCAAAGCCAGAACATGTTAAAAAGGTCTGAAGAGAAAAGATTATAAAAATTTAAAAGGGAGGAATTGTAAGATACAATGAATCTTTCTGAGTTTCTTTTCAAAAGGTTTAGCCTGTTAACTTCCTTACCCTTTGTTCTCCAACTTAACTTTCTTGTTTCTCCTTGCCAACAGTTACTGTAAACAGCCTACCCCCTTCCCGTCAGTTCTAATCAATAACTCACATCTGTTCCCTTGGTTACCTGTACCCATCGTTCCCTTGAAACTGCACGTCTCACAAGCTCCACCACTGTACCTCACGTCCCCCTCCTTTCCATATTTAGAAAAATATTTACAAGTAGCCAATCAGATGAGCTCAGATTTTGCAGTCTGACCCCAGCCCATGGGGGAAGGACACAGAGATAGGGATCGCGTTAAGGATATAAAAACCCCCTGGTGTCCTTTGTTCAGTGTGCACTTGTGACCTTGTTTGACACAAGTGGCACCCTTTTGCAAAAGAAAATTGCCTTGATGAGGAAACTAAATTTATATTCGAGTGCTGTTTCTTTTGCGGCATCGGAAATTCATTTATAATAAGTTCAACTTAATATTTTTGTGGTGGAAAAACATTTATCTGAAATGTACAATTAATTTTAATTTGATTTTGATTTTCCTTTTATTAAGTTGGCTAAATATATACTTAAAATATATATTATGGAGTGCATAAACCTATTTTTGTACAATTTTTATCATGTTCCTTCAATCTGTTCATTCTACTAAATATATATTCTTCTATGTTTACTTATGATATAAACAGTGATGTTTAAAATGATTCTCACTTGGGAGGAGCCAAGATGGCCGAATAGGAACAGCTCCGGTCTACAGCTCCCAGCGTGAGCGACGCAGAAGACGGGTGATTTCTGCATTTCCATCTGAGGTACCGGGTTCATCTCACTAGGGAGTGCCAGACAGTGGGCGCAGGTCAGTGGGTGCGCGCACTGTGCGCGAGCCGAAGCAGGGCGAGGCATTGCCTCACTCGGGAAGCACAAGGGGTCAGGGAGTTCCCTTTCCTAGTCAAAGAAAGGGGTGACAGACAGCACCTGGAAAATGGGTCACTCCCACCCGAATACTGCGCTTTTCCAACGGGCTTAAAAAACGGCGCACCAGGAGATTATATCCCGCACATGGCTCGGAGGGTCCTACACCCACAGAATCTCGCTGATTGCTAGCACAGCAGTCTGAGATCAAACTGCAAGGTGGCAGCGAGGCTGGGGGAGGGGTGCCCGCCATTGCCCAGGCTTGCTTAGGTAAACAAAGCAGCCCAGAAGCTCGAACTGGGTGGAGCCCACCACAGCTCAAGAAGGCCTGCCTGCCTCTGTAGGCTCCACCTCTGGGGGCAGGGCACAGACAAACAAAAAGACAGCAGTAACCTCTGCAGACTTAAATGTCCCTGTCTGGCAGCTTTGAAGAGAGCAGTGGTTCTCCCAGCACACAGCTGGAGATCTGAGAACGGGCAGACTGCCTCCTCAAGTGGGTCCCTGACCCCTGACCCCCAAGCAGCCTAACTGGGAGGCACCCCCCAGCAGGGGCAGACTGACACCTCACACGGCCGGGTACTCCAACAGACCTGCAGCTGAGGGTCCTGTCTGTTACAAGGAAAACTAACAAACAGAAAGGACATCCACACCAAAAACCCATCTGTACATCACCATCATCAAACAGAGCAGAAAAATTGGAAACTCTAAAAAGCAGAGTGCCTCTCCTCCTCCAAAGGAATGCAGTTCCTCACCAGCAACGGAACAAAGCTGGATGGAGAATGACTTTGACGAGCTGAGAGAAGAAGGCTTCAGACAATCAAATTACTCCGCGCTACGGGAGAACATTCAAACCAAAGGCAAAGAAGTTGAAAACTTTGAAAAAAATTTAGAAGAATGTATAACTAGAATAACCAATACAGAGAAGTGCTTAAAGGAGCTGATGGAGCTGAAAACCAAGGCTCGAAGAGAACTATGTGAAGAATGCAGAAGCCTCAGGAGCCGATGCAATCAACTGGAAGAAAGGGTATCAGTGATGGAAGATGAAATGAATAAAATGAAGTGAGAAGGGAAGTTTAGAGAAAAAAGAATAAAAAGAAACGAGCAAAGCCTCCAAGAAATATGGGACTATGTGAAAAGACCAAATCTACGTCTGACTGGTGTACCTGAAAGTGACGGGGAGAACGGAACCAAGTTGGAAAACACCCTGCAGGATATTATCCAGGAGAACTTCCCCAACCTAGCAAGGCAGGCCAACATTCAGATTCAGGAAATATAGAGAACGCCACAAAGATATTCCTCGAGAAGAGCAACTCCAAGACACATAATTGTCAGATTCACCAAAGTTGAAATGAAGGAAAAAATGTTAAGGGCAGCCAGAGAGAAAGGTCGGGTTACCCTCAAAGGGAAGCCCATCAGACTAACAGCGGATCTCTCGGTAGAAACTCTACAAGCCAGAAGAGAGTGGGGGCCAATATTCAACATTCTTAAAGAAAAGAATTTTCAACCCAGAATTTCATATCCAGCCAAACTAAGCTTCATAAGTGAAGGAGAAATAAAACACTTTACAGAAAAGCAAATGTTGAGAAATTTTATCACCACCAGGCCTGCCCTAAAAGAGCTCCTGAAGGAAGCGCTAAACATGGAAAGGAACAACCGGTACCAGCTGCTGCAAAATCATGCTAAAATGTAAAGACCATCGAGACTAGGAAGAAACTGCATCAACTAACGAGCAAAATAACCAGCCAACATCATAATGACAGGAACAAATTCACACATAACAATATTAACTTTAAATGTAAATGGACTAAATGCTCCAATTAAAAGACACACACAGACTGGCAAATTGGATCAAGAGTCAAAACCCATCAGTGTGCTGTATTCAGGAAGCCCATCTCACGTGCAGAGACACACATAGGCTCAAAATAAAAGGATAGAGGAAGATCTACCAAGCAAATGGAAAACAAAAAAAGGCAGGGATTGCAATCCTAGTCTCTGATAAAACAGACTTTAAACCAACAAAGATCAAAAGAGACAAAGAAGGCCATTACATAATGGTAAAGGGATCAATTCAACAAGAAGAGCTAACTATCCTAAATATATATGCACCCAATACAGGAGCAAGCAGATTCATAAAGCAAGTCCTGAGTGACCTACAAAGAGACTTAGACTCCCACACATTAATAATGGGAGACTTTAACACCCCACTGTCAACAATAGACAGATCAACGAGACAGAAAGTCAACAAGGATACCCAGGAATTGAACTCAGCTCTGCACCAAGCAGACCTAATAGACATCTACAGAACTCTCTACCCCAAATCAACAGAATATACATTTTTTTCAGCACCACACCACATCTATTCCGAAATTGACCACATACTTGGAAGTAAAGCTCTCCTCAGCAAATGTAAAAGAACAGAAATTATAACAAACTATCTCTCAGACCACAGTGCAATGAAACTAGAACTCAGGATTAAGAATCTCACTCAAAACCACTCAACTACATGGAAACTGAACAACCTGCTCCTGAATGACTACTGGGTACATAACGAAATGAAGGCAGAAATAAAGATGTTCTTTGAAACCAACGAGAACAAAGACACAACATACCAGAATCTCTGGGACACATCCAAAGCAGTGTGTAGAGGGAAATTTATAGCACTAAATGCCCACAAGAGAAAGCAGGAAAGATCCAAAATTGACACCCTAACATCACAATTAAAAGAACTAGAAAAGCAAGAGCAAACACATTCAAAAGCTAGCAGAAGGCAAGAAATAACTAAAATCAGAGCAGAAATGAAGGAAATAGAGACACAAAAAACCCTTCAAAAAATTAATGAATCCAGGAGCTGGTTTTTTGGAAGGATCAACAAAATTGATAAACCACTAGCAAGACTAATAAAGAAAAAAAGAGAGAAGAATCAAATAGACGCAATAAAAAATGATAAAGGGGATATCACCACCGATCCCACAGAAATACAAACTACCATCAGAGAATACTACAAACACCTCTACGCAAATAAACTAGAAAATCTACAAGAAATGGATAAATTCCTCGACACATACACTCTCCCAAGACTAAACCAGGAAGAAGTTGAATCTCTGAATAGACCAATAACAGGATCTGAAATTGTGGCAATAATCAATAGCTTATCAACCAAAAAGAGTCCAGGACCAGATGGATTCACAGCCGAATTCTACCAGAGGTACAAGGAGGAACTGGTACCATTCCTTCTGAAACTACTCCAATCAATAGAAAAAGAGGGAATCCTCCCTAACTCATTTTATGAGGCCAGCATCATCCTGATACCAAAGCCGGGCAGAGACACAACCAAAAAAGAGAATTTTAGACCAATATCCTTGATGAACATTGATGCAAAAATCCTCAATAAAATACTGGCAAACAGAATCCAGCAGCACATCAAAAAGCTTATCCACCATGATCAAGTGGGCTTCATCCCTGGGATGCAAGGCTGGTTCAATATGTGCAAATCAATAAATGTAATCCAGCATATAAACAGAACCAAAGACAAAAACCACATGATTATCTCAATAGATGCAGAAAAAGCCTTTGACAAAATCCAACAACCCTTCATGCTAAAAACTCTCAATAAATTAGGCATTGATGGGACATATTTCAAAATAATAAGAGCTATCTATGACAAACCCACAGCCAATATCATACTGAATGGGCAAAAACTGGAAGCATTCCCTTTGAAAACTGGCACAAGACAGGGATTCTGTCACCACTCCTGTTCAACATAGTGTTGGAAGTCCTGGCCAGGGCAATTAGGCAGGAGAAGGAAATAAAGGGTATTCAATTAGGAAAAGAGGAAGTCAAATTGTCCCTGTTTGCAGACGACATGATTGTATATCTAGAAAACCCCATTGTCTCAGCCCAAAATCTCCTTAAGCTGATAAGCAACTTCAGCAATGTCTCAGGATACAAAATCAATGTACAAAAATCACAAGCATTCTTCTACACCAATAACAGACAAACAGAGAGCCAAATCATGAGTGAACTCCCATTCACAATTGCTTCAAAGAGAATAAAATACCTAGGAATCAAACTTACAAGGGATGTGAAGGACCTCTTCAAGGAGAACTACAAACCACTGCTCAATGAAATAAAAGAGGATACAAACAAATGGAAGAACTTTCCATGCTCATGGGTAGGAAGAATCAATATCATGAAAATGGCCATACTGCCCAAGGTAATTTATAGATTCAATGCCATCCCCATCAAGCTACCAATGACTTTCTTCACAGAATTGGAAAAAACTACTTTAAAGTTCATATGGAACCAGAAAAGAGCCCGCATCGCCAAGTCAATCCTAAGCCAAAAGAACAAAGCTGGAGGCATCATACTACCTGACTTCAAACTGTACTACAAGGCTACAGTAACCAAAACAGCATGGTACTGGTACCAAAACAGAGATATATATCAATGGAACAGAACAGAGCCCTCAGAAATAACGCCGCATATCTACAGCTATCTGATCTTTGACAAACCTGACAAAAACAAGCAATGGGGAAAGGATTCCCTATTTAATAAATGGTGCTGGGAAAACTGGCTAGCCATATGTAGAAAGCTGAAACTGGATCCCTTCCTTACACCTTATACAAAAATCAATTCAAGATGGATTAAAGACTTAAACTTTAGACCAAAAACCATAAAAACCCTAGAAGAAAACCTAGGCATTACCATTGAGGACACAGGCATGGGCAAGGACTTCATGTCTAAAACACCAAAAGCAATGGCAACAACAGCCAAAATTGACAAACGGGATCTAATTAAAGTAAACAGCTTCTGCACAGCAAAAAAAAAAAAACTACCATCAGAGTGAACAGGTAACCTATAAAATGGGAGAAAATTTTTGCAACCTACTCATCTGACAAAGGGCTAATATCCAGAATCTACAATGAACTCAAACAAATTTACAAGAAAAAAACAAACAACCCCATCAAAAAGTGGGTGAAGGACATGAACAGACACTTCTCAAAAGAAGACATTTATGCAGCCAAAAAACACATGAAAAAATGCTCACCATCACTGGCCATCAGAGAAATGCAAATCAAAACCACAATGAGATACCATCTCACACCAGTTAGAATGGCAATCATTAAAAAGTCAGGAAACAACAGGTGCTAGAGAGGATGTGGAGAAATAGGAACACTTTTACACTGTTGGTGGGACTGTAAACTAGTTCAACCATTGTGGAAGTCAGTGTGGCGATTCCTCAGTGATCTAGAACTAGAAATACCATTTGACCCAGCCATCCCATTACTGGGTATATACCCAAAGGACTATAAATCATGCTGCTATAAAGACACATGCACATGTATGTTTATTGCAGCATTATTCACAATAGCAAAGACTTGGAACCAACCCAAATGTCCAACAATGATAGACTGGATTAAGAAAATGTGGCACATACACACCATGGAATACTATGCAGCCATAAAAAATGATGAGTTCATGTCCTTTGTAGGGACATGGATGAAATTGGAAATCATCATTCTCAGTAAACTATTGCAAGAACAAAAAACCAAACACCACATATTCTCACTCATAGGTGGGAACTGAACAATGAGAACACATGGACACAGGAAGGGGAACATCACACTCTGCGGACTGTTGTGGGGTGGGGGTAGGGGGAGCGATAGCATTGGGCAATATACCTAATGCTAGATGATGAGTTAGTGGGTGCAGCGCGCCAGCATGGCACATGTATGCAGAGGTACCAGCATGGCACATTGTGCACAGGTACCCTAAAACTTAAAGTATAATAATAATAAATAAATAAATAAGTAAAAAATGATTCTCACTAAATGTTAATAATGGTTATTTTAAGAGTAGTTAGAATTTGTGGTGGGTTTTTATTTCTTTTTTTGTAATTTTGTATTGCTTTAATTTTTCAAAACAAAGATGTATAATTTATAGAACAATAGCAAAGTCGTTACTCCAAGATCAATAAAGGAAGAGACCACTAACAGGAAAAACAACGGAAAAGCAAGTGTGGAATATATGGGACCAAAGAATTTTCTAGCCTGTCTCCTGTATCTGCAGCTGGCTTCTTTCAAACTGTGTGAGTGCCTTTATAATGCAAATAAAAGGATTAATTCCCCTGATGTTTTGCTACTGAGCCAGACCTTTACATGTTCAAGAATATGGTCACTATATTGCTGACTATGTCCACTTAAGTTGGAAATAAAATGCGCAAGTATAATTTTTCAAGATGTGGTTTGCCAACTAGCAGCACTGGCATCACCTGGGTATTTGTTAGATATGCAGAATCTTACCTTACCTGACATACTCAATCAGAATTTTCATGGTGACAAGATCCCCTGAATGATCTGTATAAACATTTAAGCTTGAAAAGCACTGCTTTAAAAGATCTAATGGCTCAATTTTCCAATAAGGATATTGAACAGCGGCTTACATAAAGCTACAGAGATTAATCCTATAGTGGGTTTGCAGAAAGGAGAAAAAAAGATTTTTTCCGTGCACATGAAATTATTCATTCCACAATTTAGCTGTGTTTTATAGGCTATGGGGTCCATCTTTGGTGTGGCTGGGCATCCACACATTTTTAAACATATTCAGAGTGATATCGGGGATTTCCAGGAAAACAGACACAACGGTTGATGGTTAAAGAAGAAAAAGGAAAGCTTTCTTGTTTGCTGGCTTGTTTTGTTAGCGCAAGATATGAAGAATCCGGCTGAGGGCAGAGTTAATTAGCATTATCTAAAGTGAAAAAAAAAATAGGATTACCTGCAAGAGATCTCAGCACTTGTAATTCTTTTTCCAAATTGTCTAAAGTATGTTGATCAGTAGTGTCATCTAAGGAAAGCTCATTCTGGTCAGTAATATCAATATATTCAATTTCTGAAATTTCAGAAGCAGCTCTAGATGATGATTGAGCAGCTGCACTTCTTGATCGAGGATGAGAGGATGAAAGGCAACTGGAGCTTTCTTTAACAGAGTTGGAAAGTGGAAAATTTGCTGTTGAAGGTCTCTGTGATTTCTGACCTAAAATTAAAAGTAAAAAGTTTTTAAATCAACTTTTAAAAATTTGAATGAGTACTTAAAGATACAAAATACCAGGTCCCTGCACACAGAGAAGTTAAGTTCATGTAACAGAGTTTATGAAAAGTTAACTTTGACTATCACCCTTTCTAGCTAACCACATTTTCTTAATCTCAAATTACTTTTCCAATGTCATAAAGAACACTTCTGTGTATTTTTTTCCTAATTTTCCTACATTCAGAGGAAAACAAACTAATTTTAATATTCACAAAGGAAAATATCTATAAACTAAGTCAACTTTGTAGAGAAACAACACACAATTTTATAACGTATTCCAAAGCCAAGCACCACGACATGTGTCTTAAATTCCAGGACAATACCAAACTTAATACCTTGTAAGAAAAAAAACCTTAGAAAAAGCATCGTGCCACTTCCTAGTAAACCAATTTTACTTGATGATATGTAATTTATTCTTACATTTAAAAATATGGCAACAAAAGAGACTAATTTACAAAATCTATATGAATATTTGGAAAAACACAGGCTTTAAAGAAATTGAGATCACGTCTCTAATTTTCCTACGGATGAGCTCACTCTCTTCTGGAAAAGTTCCAGAAGCACCGATCTAAATTAGGTTATTACATTGTTCCTCTAGGACAGTCGCTACTTTGTCTTCACCTGTTTTGAAAGTTGACTTAGTTGGTTTCTTCAACATGTTTGCTCCTTTAACAGTAGGAAAAAAAAATCTCTTCAAATCTTATACTAACACAACATAACTAATTTCTAATTTGGTATTTCTCACAAAATATTACTTAATAAGGCCAAGACAGTTTTCAAGGTACATATTTAAAAATTCATAGGGCAGGTAAATGCTTTAATGTAATAAATTATTGTTCTGATTTAGGTAAATATATTTATAGTAAACATAATTATATTATAAGATAACTTTGCACTCCCTTAACACAAACTGGCTTTGTAAAACTATTAGGTGGGTGCAATTGTCATTATCATAAAAACCCTAATTTGATGGAACCTATGCCATATAACATTGTTCTCACTCTAGTGACTCAACAAAAAATATAAAATTCAAAAAAGTGACTACAGGCGGTAATCATGTATTAAATATTTAATGACTATTGAGTTGTTTTTGGGGGGTTTTGGGAGTTTTTTTGGAGAAGGAGTCTTGCTCTGTCACTAGGCTGGAGTGCAGTGGCACGATCTCGGCTCACTGCAACCTTTGCCTCCCAGGTTCAAGCGATTCTCCTGCCCCAGGCTCCCAAGCTGGGATTACAGGCGCGTGCCACCACACCCAGCTAATTTTTGTATTTTTAGTAGAGATGGGGTTTCACCATGTTGGCCAGGATGGTCTTGATCTCCAGACTTCATGATCCGCCTGCCTCAGCCTACCAAAGTGGAGTTTGTCTTTTTTTAACTTAAAAAAAATCTACTTCGAATGTGTCTAATACCTCAAGAAGACTCTCAATACAGTATGTAATTATTTAAGCAATTAAAATTGGCCAAGGTAAGTCTCAAAGGGTACCAACTTTAGTGAAAATTTCAGAAATCAATTTTTAAAATAATTTTAATTGAAATAAAATTATGAGTAAGTTAAAATAAGACTGATCTTTTGTGTCTATTTGTGCTCAGATAAAAATAATGGGCTAAAATATGCCTAAGTGTTAAAAACATATATCTATATCTATATATATATATAATTATCCCTGAGAATTATTTTTATGACTATAAGTTAGAAATGATTTCCTCTTTTATCTATAATATGTAAAGAACCATATTTATAGCAATCAAGAACCAAACTCTCCAAGTCTACATAAGGAAGCAATAGCACAGGCAATAGCAGTAGCTGCACAAGTCAGAGAGTGTAACAATAATTCGCAATATAAATCAAAAGTTCTACTCTATGGGGTAAACCACACTTTAGTATCTGTACTATGATATGTCTCAATCAAGGTAAAATTTAAAGGAATTCACAACTCTTTAAAAAAACAAACCAAACGAAAATACTATGAGTAAGGACTGGACTTCTGCCAATTCACAGAAATGAAGAAAGAAAAATTTAATATAATGTAGATGCCCTTCAGAAAATCTAGAAGAGTACGAACACTAATAAGAACATTTGATTGCCACAGTATTTAAAGGTAATTGATCCCCATTGAGAAAAAGTACACAAAGGACAGGTCAGACTTATGCTTAGCACACAGCAAAGAAACAGACCATCTTTCTTACTGGAAATATGCTCAAAGTGTAATTTAAAGTAACTAAAACACAGAAACAGACAGAAGAGGCCCCAGTTTGATTCTTGATTTTGTTTATTGTTCTTTTAAGCCAATATATCATTCTTTCTAATGTTTAATATATAAGGGTACTAATGTTACGGTTAAGTTTAAGATATAACACAACATTAACACTGGCACTAGTTAAAAATGCCATGATTGAGGGGATCATTCCATATTTTTTTTAAAAAAAATCTCAATTTGTAGATTAAAAGCATAAGAAGTTACTTTTGGAGTAACATGCGCCATCACTGTCAATGTAATCATAAGAAATTATTGGTTAACACTGATCAGTTATATTCTAAATGTAACAAAATAAATTTTCCTTGGTGTTAACTGAAGAATATATGCTCTATGATTACTAATAAAACTAAGCCAACTATTGGGAAGATAAAATTCAATAGTGACTTTAAATCATATTAATGGATACAATATTACTGGTAAGGATATAAAAAATAGGAATAATTCACTGAATGATAATCGTTATTGCTATTCTAAATATAACAATAGAATTAGATGAAATGTAACTATAGCAACATAATTTTAGGTAGCGTTTTAATAACAAATAATATTCTTATCAAAGGACCCAGTATTTTGATCTTAAATAAAGTTTGCAAAACACTGTTGTCTATTGACATTCATGTTTCACTGTATCAACTGCTGAGAATTTATACATAAAAAGAATTCTTAGAAATGTATTTTCTAAGAATTCTTAAATTTATATACAAATTTTATTTAGCAGCATGGTTAAGTGGAAAGAATACTAAACTAGGTAACTAAGAATGTTATTGTGTTATCTTATAGAATTAGAAAACAGCTTATGACCTGTGAAATACAAAATTCAGGAACTGGATAGTAGAACGTCTTAAATTCCTTCCAACTCTGAGAGCTTGTGAATTAATACTCAATCAAATTCAATTATAAAATTATTTATCACCCTCTAAAACTGCCAGGCACTGTGTCAGGATTGGGGTATTCAAAAGGGAATAAGACATCACCTCCACCCTCAAGTTGCACTCCAAACTAACACACAGTTCTACTAGCCTACTCTACTAATTGGAAAACACTTACTGAGCACTTACAATAGGCCAGGCCCTGTTCCATTACTGAAGATACCCCAATGAACAGGACAGACTAGTCCTTGATTTCTTTCCAACCAAGGGTAAGAGAAAGCAGGAAAAAAGCTAATAAGATGATGTTAAATAGTGATAGCTTTTACAAGAAAAATAAAAGAAGGTAAATGTGATAGAGGAACTCAAGAGACCAGCACTAGATAGGGTGGTGCCAGAAGGTCTCTCTATGGAGGTAGCATCTGGACTGAAGCTGAATAATGGAAAAGAATCAATCATATGAAGAGTGTGAGAATGGAGAGGGAAATTTCAGAGCATCCTGGAGAAGAGGTAAGATCTAATTCTAAGGCTAAGAAGTGAGTAAGAGAGTGGCTTAAGAACAGAAAGAAAGTAAATGTGGCTACAGTGTAGGAGAAGATGCAGTTAGGAGAGACGGGTAGCCAACCAAGGTGTTGCTGTGTGATACATGGTAAGGCATACTTTTTTCTACTTTCTATAGGGATCCATGGAATGCTTTAGACAATAGAATGGCATGATACAATATATGGTTTACATTTATGGAAAGTACGATTCACTTCCTATAAACTATAAATATCAATACTGTTATGAGTAAAAACAATTCACTCACTGACTATAAATAGTAGAATATAATGGAAATGAATTATAGCAACATGATTTTGGGAGAAGTAAAAGTGAAAATGGGAGACAAATGAGAGATGAAGACAAATGGCTTGGACTAATCTTGAATAGTGAAGGTAAAAGTGTTTAGTGTTGGGCTTGATTTTAGAGCTGAAATCAGCAGAATCTAAAAATAAATAGGATACACTGAGTGAGAGGCAAGATGACTCCCAAATTTCAGACTTAATCAATGTTTGGATACAGTTGCCATTTCCAGAGGCAGGAAGATGGGCTAGGGGAGGATTAAGTTGTGGCAGGGATGAGAAGAATGAATAAACTTGCTGCTAAACACACATAGCTACGATGTTTTTACATTCATGACTTCTTAATTGTTATGGAAATGGGAATTCCTCTATATACTGGCATCAGTGCAGAATACAAGATTTCTATAACTTGTGACAGAGCCAGGCAATTTTTAGTTTATTTTAGACCATTGTCTCTGTTCAGAAAGCCATTTCCTACCTTCTCTAACTGGTAAATATTATAACTTTTTAAAGACTCAACTGAATGTTACCTAGTCTCTAATATCTTGCCAATCTACACTTTTCAATAGCAAAGTCATTATGTTATCATCTCTATTTCTAAAAAAAAACCTTGCTTATATATCTAACTATTATAGCTGATAGGACATATTATCATTAATTACCTATTAAGGTCCAAAAGTAAATTACTCATAGGTCTTTTTATAAAACTTATATGTGGTATAATTTACATATTCACACACACATTTTATATATATCAAAAAATTTATAGCACTTTTCTCAAAATATGGTATTCAGACTGTTTATATTAGCATAACACGGAGTTGTTGTTGTTCAGAAAATAAATGCAATTTCTTAGGCATTACCTCAGCCTTAATTAATCAGAATCCCTAAGAGTCAGATCCAGAAATCTGCATTGCAAGAGGTTTCCCAGGTGATTATGCCCACAGCGACTTTTGAGAAAATTTTATACTGGACTCTAAGCTCTTAAGCAATAGAGATAAGAGTTTGTTTTGTATAAACAGTGTCTGGCAGTAGTGCTTGAACAAATGTTTTTTATAGCAAATTATTGATTTTGACTGATCTGTCCAAATTGATACTTAAAAGCATTTGACTATGGATTTGTAGATTTGTCTTTGTAATAAATTTCTCATAGCACGTATATGAATTTGTTTTCATCAATATACAGTGACTTAAAGCAGTTCTTTCTGATTGCCTCAGAGGGAAGCAACCAGAATTTTTGAAGTTGCTGTCGACTTTGATGTAAAAATAGGCATCTAAGTATAGAGCCAAAAAAATCATAAATACATTGTTTTCTCCCTAAAAATTTTATATCTGACAGATTCTCAACATAAATGCACATGGAAAGGATCTAAGATAGCCAGAGAGTTTTAATCATAGATTTTAGGGCAAGAGAGACATATATATCTTATATAGAGAGGCAAATCATATGCAATTAAATTTCTGCCTTGAAGATAGCCTTTAAACCAAGGCAAATAGCCCCCTTTCTCAGGTATTCCTCCTAAACTGTGAGCTCAATAAGATCAGGGAATATTACTTACATATCTCTTTTATCCTCGGGGCCAATCCAAGTGCTAATATCCTCAAAATATATGCTGAATTACCTGAATTCATTAGTTGTCTACTACAACTTCCTACTTTGGCATAGAGCAAACCCACTATAGCTGGTATAATGGGATAACAGTAATGTCCTAATAATAGTAGTGATTTTAATGATGTTATATGCTCTGTATACACTCATTAGGAAAGTATCAAAATAGATATTCAGTATGTCAAAAGAATTATTCTATGGAAAATCTTATAATTACTTTGTTTAGAGAATAGAGGTAATGAACTGAAATGAAGATTCCAGGGTCAATGCATACAGAATTATATTTAGAACTAAGCTTTCTCAATCCCAGCAAGAAACAGCATCTTAACCTAAGTCAATCATTTCACATATGGCTCTGTCTGATCATAATATATATCAAGTGAAAGAGTATGCAAAATCTGGTATAAACATACTGCTTCCTGAGTGAGTAATGAAACCATGTATTTTATAAGGATTGTTCAAAATATGCCATATCCTTAACTACATTTTGCAAATATTATTTCCTAATACATTGTTATAGAAAATAACTAAGATGATAATTCATGCCTTTGGAAAAATGAGCTCACTTGTTTTTATGCTTTGGTTTTGGAAGAAAAGTCGAGGACATTTAGTTAAAATGAATGAATTTAAATTACAGAACTTCAAAAACTAAATTGCAGGTGCCTACTAAACTGCTAAAAAAGCAAACTACTAAAGGAAGTAAGCTGCCAACATGGCACTGCTGCCTTTGAGTCAATGTTACCCATCTTTTGCTGTTTTCTACTTGATGATGGACTCTGAGCACCCTGCAGAACACCCAAGACAATTGCATTATCAGCATATTCACTTAAGCTATGGTCTGGAATCCATTCTCTGTCTTCTGAAATTGAAAAACAGTAAGATAACATAAAGTTTGAAAAGAAGAAAATCCATTTTATTAGTTTTATATTTATGTCTTACTGGACAATATTTAACTGAATAAAGAATATTTACAACAGTGATATATATTATGAAATACAAAATCTTATTACAAAATAAAAATCATTAAATTAATATATTTTAATTTTAAAAATTTAAAAAGTATATAACAATGCAACATAAAGTATAATTGTTTCTACATGAATAAACACATTTGAATACATAAGATGCCTAAGAATATAGATGACACCAAGATCTAGCTTTCAAAATGGAAACTAAAAAATCATGAAGAGAAGATGGCCAAATAGGAACAGCTCCAGTCTGCAGCTCCCAGTGATAATGATGTAGAAGGCAGGTGATTTCTGCATTTCCAACTGAGGTACATCTCATTGGGACTGGTTCATCTCATTGGGACTGGTTGTACAGTGGGTGCAGCCCAAGGAGGGCAAGCCAAAGCAGGGTGTGGTGTCACCTTACCCAGGAAGGAAAGGAACTCCCTCTCCTAGCCAAGGGAAGCCATTAGGGACTGTAACTTGCACTCTGGCTCGGATACTGTGCTTTTCCCGTGGTCTTCGCAACCCTCAGACCAGGAGATCCCCTCCGGTGCCTACACCACCAGGGACCTTGGTTTCCAGCACGAAACTGGGTGGCCACTTGAGCAGACACCGAGCTAGCCACAGGAGTTTATTTCTCATACCCGAGTGGCACCTGGAACATGAGTGAGACAGAAGCCAGGGGGGTGAAGCCAGGGAGCCAAGTGGTCTGGCTCATCGGTTCCCACCCTCATGGAGTCCAGCAAGCTAAGATCCACTGGCTGGAAAGTCTCACTGCCAGCACAGCAGTCTGAGCTCAACCTGGGATGCTCGAGCTTGGTGAAGGGAGAGGTGTCTGCCATTACTGAGGCTTGAGAGGGTGGTTTTATCCTCACAGTGTAAACAAAGCTGCTGGGAAGTTCAAACTGGGCAGAGTCCACTACAGCTCAGCAAAGCCACCATGGCCAGATTGCCTTCTCAAGAGTCCCTCCCTGAAAAAAAGGCAGAAGCCCCAGCCACAGACTTATAGATAAAACCTCTACCTCCCCGGGACAGAGCACCTAGGGGAAGGGGCGGTTGTAGGTGCAGCTTCAGCAGACTTAAACATCCCTGCCTGGCAGCTCTGAAGAGAACAGCAGATCTCCCAGCACAGCGTCTGAGCTCTGATAAGGATCAGACTGCCTCCTCAAGTGTATCCTGATTGGGAGACAACTCCCAGCAGAGGCCGACAGACACCTCTTACAGGAGAGCTCTGGCTGGCATCTGGTGGGTGCCTCACTGGGACAAAGCTTCCAGAGGAAGGAACAGGCAGCAATCTTTGCTGTTCTGCAGCCTCCGCTGGTGATACCCAGGCAAACAGGGTCTAGAGTGGAACTCCAGCAAACACCAGCAGACATGCAGCAGAGGAGCTGGACTGTTAGAAGGAAAACTAACAAACAGAAAGGAATAGTAACAACATCAACAAAAAAAACATCCACTCAGAGACCCCATCTGAAGGTCATCGACTTCAAAGACCAAAGGTAGATAAATTCACGAAGATGGGGAGAAACCAGTGCAGAAGGGCTGAAAATTCCAAAAACCTGAATGCCTCCTCTCCTCCAAAGGATCACAACTCCTCACCACCAAGGGAACAAAACTGGACGGAGAATGAGTTTGACGAATTGACAGAAGTAGGCTTCAGAAGGTGGGTAATAACAAACTCCTCTGAGCTAAAGGACCAAGTTCTAACCCAATGCAAGGAAGCTAAGAACCTTGAGAAAAGGTTAGTCAAATTGCTAACTGGAATAAATAGTTTAGAGAAGAACATAAATGACCTGCTGGAGCAGAAAAACACAGCACAAGAACTTCATGAAGCATACACAAGTGTCAATAGCTGAATAGATCAAGCGGAAGAAAGTATATCAGAGATTAAAGATCAACTCAATGAAATAAAGCGGAAAGACAAGGTTAGAGAAAAAAGAGTGAAAGAAACGAACAAAGCCTCCAAGAAATATGGGACTGTGTGAAAAGACCAAATCTACGTTTTATTGGTGTACCTCAAAGTGACGGGGAGAATGGAACCAAGTTGGGAAACACTCTTCAGGATATTATCCAAGAGAACTTCCCCAACCTACCAAGACAGGCCAACATTCAAATTCAGGAAACACAGAGAACACCAAAAAGATATTCCTTTAGAAGAGCAACCCCATGACACATAATCCTCAGATTCACCAAGGTTTAAATGAAGGAAAAAATGTTAAGGGCAGCCAGAGAGAAAGGTTGGGTTACCGACAAAGGGAGGCCCATCAGACTAACAGCAGATCTCTCAGCAGATACCCTACAAGCAGAAGAGAGTGGGGATCAATATTCACATACTTAAAGAAAAGAATTTTCAACCCAGAATTTTACATCCAGCCAAACTAAGCTTCATAAGCAAAAGAGAAATAAAATCATTTACAGACAAGCAAATGCTGAGAGATCTTGTCACCACCAGGCCTGCCTTACAAGAGCTTCTGAAGGAAGCACTAAATATGGAAAGGAACAAATGGTACCAGACACTGCAAAAACCTACCAAATTGTAAAGACCATTGACACTATGAAGAAACTGCATCCACTAACGGGCAAAATAAACAGCTAGCATCATAATGGCAGGATCACATTCACACATAACAATATTAACCTTAAATGTAAATGGGCTAAATGCCCCAATTAAAAGACACAGACTCACAAATTGGATAAAGATTCAAGACCCATCAGTGTGCTGTATTCAGGAGACCCATCTCACGTGCAAAGACACACATAGGCTCAAAACGAAAGAAAGCAGGAAATTTTACCAACCAAATGGAAAGCAGAAAAAAAGCAGGGGTTGCAATCCTAGTCTGTAATAAAACAGACTTTAAACCAACAAAGATCAAAAGAGACGAAGAAGCCATTACATAATGGTAAAGGGATCAATGCAACAAGAAGAGTTAACTATCCTAAATATGTATGCACCCAACACAGGAGCACCCAGATTCATAAAGCAAGTTCTTGGAGACTACAAAGAGATGTAGACTCCTATACAATAATAGTGGGAGACTTTAACACCCCACTATCAATATTAGACAGATCAATGAGACAGAAAATTAACAAGGATATCCAGGACTTGAACTCAGCTCTGGACCAAGTGGACTTAATAGACATCTACAGAACTCTCCACCCCAAATCAACAGGATATACATTCTTCCCAGCATCACATCACACTTATTCTAAAATTGACCACATAATTGGAAGTAAAACCCTCCTCAGCAAATGCAAAAGAATGAAAAGCATAACAGTCTCTCAGACCACAGTGCAATCAAATTAGGAATCAGGATTAAGAAACTCACTCAAAACTGCACGACTACATGAAAACTGAACAACCTGCTCCTGAATGACTCTGGGTAAATAACAAAATGAAGGCAGTAATGAAGATGTTCTTTGAAACCAATGAGAACAAAGACATAATGTACCAGAATCTCTGGGACACATTTAATGCAGTGTGTAGAGGGAAATATATAGTACTAAATGTCCTCAAGAGAAAGCTGGAAAGATCTAAAATTGACATGCTAACATCACAATTAAAAGAATTAGAAAAGCAAGAGCAAACAAATGCAAAAGCTAGCAGAAGACAAGAAATAACTAAGATCAGAGCAGAACTGAAGGAAATAGAGACACAAAAAACCCTTCAAAAAACCAATGAATCCAGGAGCTGTTTATTTGAAAAGACCAACAAAGTAGATAGACCACTAGCCAAACTAATAAAGAAGAAAAGAGAGAAGAATCAAATAGATGCAATAAAAATGGCAAAGGGGATATCACCACCGATCCCACAGACATACAAACTACCATCAGAGAATACTATAAACACCTCTATGCAAATAAAGTAGAAAATCTAGAAGAAATGGATAAATTCCTGGACACATACACCCTCCCAAGATTAAACCAGGAAGAAGTTGAATCCCTGAATAGACCAAAAACAAATTCTGAAATTGAGGCAGCAATTAATAGCCTACCAACCAAAAAAAGTCCAGGACCAGATGTATTCATAGCCGAATTCTACCAGAGGTACAAAGAGGAGCTGGTACCATTCCTTCTGAAACTATTCCAAACAATAGAAAAAGAGGGACGCCTCCCTAACCTATTGTATGAGGCCAGCATCATCCTGATACCAAAACCTGGCAGAGACAAAACAAAAAAAGAAAATTTCAGGCCAATATCCCTGATGAATATCTATGCGAAAATCCTCAATAATACTGGCAAACCAAATCCAGTAGCACATCAAAAAGTTTATCCACAATCAAGTCGGCTTCATCCCTGGATGCAAGGCTGGTTCAACAAACGCAAATCAATAAATGTAATCCATCACATAAACAGAACAAATGACAAAAAACATATGATTATCTTAACAGATGCAGAAAAGGCCTTCAACAAAATTCAACAGCACTTCATGCTAAAATCTCTCAATAAAACTAGCTATTGATGAAACATATCTCAAAATAATAAGAGATATTTATGACAAACCCACAGCCAATATCATATGGAATGGGCAAAACCTGGAAACATTCCCTTTGAAAACCAGCAAAAGACAAGGATGCCCTCTGTCATCACTCCTATTCAACATAGTATTGGAAGTTCTGGCCAGGGCAATCAGGCAAGAGAAAGAAATTAAGAGTATTCAATTAGGAAAAGAGGAAGTCAAATTGTCTCTGTTTGCAGATGACATGATTGTATATTTAGAAAACCCCATTGTCTCAGCCCAAACCTCCTTAAGCTGATAAGCAACTTCAGCAAAGTCTCAGGATACAAAATCAATGTGCAAAAATCACAAGCATTCCTATACACCTATAACAGACAAACAGAGAGCCAAATAAAGAGTGAGCTCCCATTCACAATTACTACAAAGAGAATAAAATACCTAGGAATACAAGTTACAAGGGATGTGAAGAACCTCTTCAAGGAGAACTACAAACCACTGCTCAAGGAAATAAGAGAGGACACAAACAAATGGAAAAACATTTCATGCTCATGGATTGGAAGAATCAATATCATGAAAATTGTCCTACTGCTGAAAGTAATTTATAGATTCAATCCTATCCCCATCAAGTTAACATTAACTTCTTCACAGGATTGGAAAAAATTTACTTTAAATTTCATATGGAAACAAAAAAGAGCCCGCATGGCCAAGACAACCCTAAGCAAAAAGAACAAAGCTGGAGGCATCACACTACTTCACTTTAAAGTATACTACAAGGCTACAGTAACCCAAAACAGCATTGTACTGGTACCAAAACAGATATATAGACCAATGGAACAGAACAGAGCCCTCAGAAATTATGCCACACATCTATAGCCATCTGATCTTTGACAGACATGGCAAAAACAACTAAAAGAAAAGGACTCCCTATTTAATAAATGGTGTTGGGAAAACTGGCTAGCCATAGGCATAAAACTGAAACTGGATCCCTTCCTTACACCTTATACAAAAATTAACTCAAGATAGGTTAAAGATTTAAATGTAAGAACGAAAACCATAAAAACCCTAGAAGAAAACCTGGCAATACCATTCAGGACATAGGCATGGGCAAAGGCTTCATGACTAAAACACGAAAAGCAATGGCAACAAAAGCCAAAATAGACAAATGGGATCTAATTAAACTAAAGGGCTTCTGCACAGCAAAAGAAACTATCATCAGAGTGAACAGACAACCTACAGAATGGAAGAAAATTTTGGCAATCCATCCATTGGACAAAGGGCTAATATTCAGAATCTAAAAGGAACTTAAATTTACAAGAAAAAAACAAACAACCCCATCCAAAAGTAGGCAAAGGATATGACAGACACTTCTCAAAAGAAGACATTTATGCAGCCAACAAACAAACAAACAAAAAGCTCATCATCACTGGTCATTAGAGAAATGCATATCAAAACCACAATGAGATACCATCTTACGCCAGTTAGAATGGTGATCATTAAAAATTCAGGAAACAACAGATGCTGGAGAGGATGTGGAGAAAGAGGAATCCTTTTACACTGTTGGTGGGAGTGTAAATTAGTTCAACCATTGTGGAAAACAGTGTGGTAATTCCTCAAGGATCTAGAACTAGAAATACCATTTGACCCAGCAATCCCATTACTGGGTATATACCTAAAGGATTATAAATCATTATATTATAAAGACACATGCACACATATGTTTATTGCAGCACTGTTCACAATAGCAGACTTGGAAGCAACCCAAATGCCCATCAATGATAGACTGGATAAAGAAAGTGTGGTACATATACACCATGGAATATTATATAGCCATAAAAAAGGATGAGTTCATGTCCTTTGCAGAGACATGGATGACACTGGAAACCATCATTCTCAGCAAACTATCACAAGAACAGAAAACCAAACACCACATGTTCCCACTCATAAGTGGGAGTTGAACAATGAGAACACATGGACACATCAAACACTGGGGCCTGTTGGGGGGTGGTGGGATAAGGGAGGGATAGCATTAGGAGAAAT
The DNA here is from genome assembly GCF_000001405.40 of Homo sapiens. NCBI lineage: Eukaryota > Metazoa > Chordata > Mammalia > Primates > Hominidae > Homo > Homo sapiens. The sequence continues at coordinate 167,295,568 of NC_000003.12, forward strand.
CCCTAATGTAGTGATGGGTTGATGGATGCAGCAAACCACCATGGCACGTGTATACCTATGTAACAAACCTGCATGTTCTGCATATGTACCCAGAACTTAAAGTGAAATTTTAAAAAAAAATCATGAAGAAACAAAAAATTGGAATATATATATATATATATATATATATATATATATATATATATATATATAAAAAAAACTAGTAAGGAGATTAAATCTGTTAACAAAAATTTGCCAATAATGAAAAGTCCTGGACCTAATTGCATTAGTGGTGAGTTCTATCACACATTTGAAGAAATAACACCAGTCCTCAAACTTTTCCAAAAGATTGAAGAGGAGGGACATCAACTCGTTGATACTAATGCCAAATAAAGACACTACAAGTAAAGAAAACATCAGAACAATATCATTTATAATCAGTGATGTAAAAATCTTCAAAGTACAAGCAAACCAAATTCGGCAGCATATTAAAAACGGTTATACATCATGATCAAATAAAATTTATTTCTGAAATGTAAGGATGGTTCGGCATATGAAAATCCATCAGTGTAATACACTACATTTATAGAATGAAAGAAAAAAACACATAATCATCTCAATTTATGCAGAAAAAGTATTTGACAAAATCCAACACACTTTTATGATAAGAACAACCAACAAACTAGGAATAAAAGGGAAATGCCTCTACACAATAAAAGTAATATGCTAATAACCCACAGCAAACATCAAACTCAATGGTGAAAAATAGAACATTTCTAAGATCTAGAGCAAGGCAAGGATGCCTGCTTTTGCTACTTCTATTCAATATAAGTAGCCAGAACAGACAAGAAAAAGAAATAAAAGACATTTGAATTAGAAAGGAAGAAGTAAAATTATCTTTGTTCACAGATGGTGTGATCTTATATGTAGAAAACACTAAAGATTCCACAAAAATATGTTAGAATAAATGAAATCAGCAAAGTAGTAGGATACAAAGTCAATAGGCAAATACCAGTTGTATTTCTATATGCTAACAATGAACAATCGGAAAAGGAAATTAAAGAAACAATTCCATTCACAACAGCCTAAAAAAGAAACAAACTTAGAAATCAACATAACCAAGGAGGTGGAAGACTTATGCAATGAAAACTATAAAACATTGCTGAAAGAAATTAAAGAAGCCACACATAAAAAGAAACATATCTCATGTTCATGAACTGGAAGAGTTAATAGTGGTAAGGTGCCAATGTTACCCAAAGTGATCTACACATTCAATATAATCCCTATCAAAAGCTCAATGACATTTTTCGTAGAAATAAAAAAACCCATCATAAAATTCACATGCAATCACCAGGGACCCTGAATAGCCAAAACAATATTAAAAACAAGAGCAAAGCTGGAAGACTCACACTTTCTGATTTCAAAACTTATTACAAAGATACTGTAATCAAAACAGTGTGATACCAGTAAAAAGACAGACATACAGACCAATGAAATGGGATAAACAACCCAGAAATATATCCTCCCTCACATATACAATCAAATTATAATGATTTTTTAAAAAGTATCCTTATGGTATAAAACTTATTTTGAAATATGTATATATTGTGGAATTGCTAAATCAAGTTAATTAACATATGTATTATCTCACCAATCATTTTTTTGTGTGTGTGGTGAGAACACTTAAAATTCACTCTCTCAGCCAAATAATTTTTGACAAGGGTGCCTAGACCATTCAATGGGGGAAAGAAAGGTCTTTTCAACAAATGGTGCTGGAAAACTTGATATCCATACGCAAAATAATGAATCTGGACCTTTGATACCATGTACAAAAATAAACTCAAATCGATCAAAGACCTATATGTAAAACCTAAAACTACAAATACCTTAGAAGAAAGTATAGGCCCAGGACATTGGCTTTGGAAATGAATTCTTAAATATGACACTGAAGGAACAGGCAAGAGCAGCCACAAAAGTAGACAAATTGGACTTAATAAAAACTGGAAAAAAACTGCATCCAAAGACACTATCAACAGAGTAAAAGGGCAATCCACAGAATGGGAGGAAATAGTTGCAAATAATATATCTTAAGAAGAAGCAGTATCCAGAATATAATAAGGAACTCCTATAACTCAACAATGAAAAAACAAATAACCCAATTAAAATAAGAGCTAAGGAATTGAATAGACATTTCTCCAAAGAGTATATACAAATTACTTATTAAGCACATGAAAAGATGCTTAACATTATTAATCATTAGGAAAATGCAAATCTAAGCTACAATATTGTACCACCTCAGACCCATGAGGATGACTATTCTCCCCCCGACCCCACCAAAAAAATAAAAGAACAAGTATTGTCAAGAATATGTAATAATCGGAACATTTGTGCCCTGTTGGCAGTAATGTAAAACACCAACCAGATGCTGGCACCATACTACTTATACAGCTTGCAGAACTCTAAGCCAAATAAACTTCTTTTATTTATAAATTATGTAGCCTTGGTTATTCCTTTACAGCAACACTAAAAGGTCTAAAATAACCACACTTCTAAATGCTAAAAAATCTTTCCTAGTTTCATTGTAAGTCATAGTTTCTCACATTCTGATAGTAACCTTAAATGTAAATATATGGCAACTAATACAAGGTTAATAATTTTAGGCTGGCAAGAAGAAAATGATTTTATCCATTGAACAGAATTGCTCAGTATTTCCTAAGATGAGAACAGACTGTTTTAGAAAAATGAGCTAGAAATTTACCTGCAAGTGTAATCCTAGTACTGGAATTGTTGCATTCTAAACGATGAGAAGGAAGTAAGTTGAGTCTTTCATTTGTATCAAAAATAAAGAATCTCTCAAGTCCTTGATATTGTTTTGTTATAGGCTTACTTCTGCAGGCTATTTCTTGTAACAACTAAGAAACAAAATATTCAACAATATTATTTTCTAACTCATTAACACAAACAAGCATATTCATTTATCAGATACCTACTTGGTATCTGATATACTTGGCACAAATTCTTCCCTCATCAAGTTTAGTTTCTAACAGTGGAGACAAATAATAAAACAACATTTATATATAGGAAGTTCTAACTACAGTTACAGTAATTCTCTGAAAGTTGATACTAATCCAAAGAGGACAGAAGTTCATGAAATAAAATAAACTTTTTTTCTCTTTCTTCCTTTATTTTCATCCCTCAGTGTCTTTGCACATAAATTATCCTGGAATACAGAGTTACTTTCACACGCAGTGGCTTTGAACTAGTGTCTTTGTCTATATATAAAATAATTTCAAAACTGAAGGTGAAATACCAATGGGAACTATCTGCCCTGACAATGGTCATGGAAAAAAAAATGTAAGTTAACAAAACACTCATCATGAAGCAAATATAAAGTAGGAAACTGTGGCAAGAGGAAGATAAGTAATTTATGACGTTTATATAGCTAGAAACTAGCAGACCTAGGCTTTGAATATAGGTCTGCCTGATTTGAAACCTAGACTTATCCTGCCACCCTATTAATTCATTTTTACATGTTCTTATTCTAGGATTGAATATAACTGGGATTTTAAAAAATGTGAATCCAGTAGAAACAGATTAGGAATTCATTAGTAAGAGCTCTAGATGAGGTTATAGTATAATCAGAGTAGCTATCAGTTTTTAATAATTCCGTAATGAATCTAACTAATGCCCAAATATAGTCTGTTCCCATAAATCAATGTAAAGCAACTTGCTTTAATTTTTTATAAATTTATAAATTATATAAATGAGATCATATTAAAGAACAAAGCTAGTGACCAATAAAGCATGTCATTCAAAGACAAATCGAAATCAAAATTCTCAGCACATATCCCCTGGCCCTCCCAGACACCAATAAACAATTACAGAATTCTTTCCACTCTACTGAAGCTTATATTTGAATTATGCAATCGCAAATCTGGAAGAGTTTTGAATGTCTTGGTTTACAGATAAAAATCCTAAAATAGTTATGTTTTGTCTACTTTTAGCACAAACTTACAAAGTTAACTATTGATAGTTTTAGAGCCAGAACAAAGGACCCCTAACTAGTCCATTGTTTTCCTAACTACTGCCCTACAAATTAGTACTTAATTCCGTAGGAAGTACTACCTTACACAGAAATCATTTTCTGAAAACTGAAGTACAAAATGAACAATTTTATACTCAATTTGGATGGAGCACCATAGATTTCTAAGTCATTTCTTCTGATGGAATGGCTTCTACTAGGACAGAAAAAGAGGGAAATAGGTTCAGGTATAGTTCTTAGGAATGAAAAGAAAGTAGATTCAACCACTTTATTCAGAAGCAGGAACTCAGTCTGCAAACTGTGAAGTACCAATTATGATGGCCACTTTAGAAAGCTCTATTTTACAGCTCCCCTCCACCTGCTTTTCACCTTTTGTTTTGCAACTCTTCAAATTCTCTTGTGATCCAACAACTTAATTATTTATAGAGATTGGCCATCTCCTATAATAAGATGCTCAGGGAGAACCTTTGGCACTCAGCTTAAGTCCTGTCTTACCAGTGGTGGAAAATTTCTGTGAAACTATTTACACTTTTTTATTCCTCAGATATAATTACCTAGGAATGGATTAAAACATTATTTTATTTATAAAAGGGGCAATCCTGGAGTCAGAAACCCATTAGTTTGTTGAGAATTCTTTTAAAATCCTATGACAGATTATTCCTGAAAAAACTTCAAATCTCTCAATCCAATATCCCCCATGAGGAAAAGGCAAGCTTTACCTAACACTATTTTATTACTGTCCAGGACTACCTTTAGTCTCACCTAATTGAAAAAAAACAATAACCATGTAAGCCATTTTACAACAGTCACTGGTTTTTGATTATGTCAGCAGCTTTGAGCTGCTGAGAACTTTATGGATCCTATGCACTTAAACACTCATTCAGATTGTTTCCTGAACTAGCTCTGTCAGAACATATTTTACACTGAGCAATATTTTATACTGAGCAATGGATAGTCTTAAATTGAATAAAACAAGAATGTATACCAGCCACACACACATTCCCATCTCCCCCACCAACCCTTTTTTTTTTTTTTTACGAGATAAGAGTCTCACCCTGTCACCCAGGCTGGAGTGCAATGGCGCGACCTCAGCTCACTATAACCTCCGCCTCCCGGGTTCAATCGATTCTCCTGCCTCAGCCTCCTGAGTAGTTGGGTAGTTGGGATTACAGGCACCTGCCACCACGCCCAGCTAATTTTTGTATTTTTAATAGAGACAGGGTTTCACCATGTTGGCCAGGCTGGTCTTGAACTCCTGACCTTGTGATCCACCCACCTCAGCCTCCCAAAGTGCTGGGATTACAGGCGTGAGCCACTGTGCCTGGCCTTTTTTTTTTTTTTTTTTAACTTTTAAGTTCAGGAGTACTTGTGCAGGTCTGTTACATAGGTAAATTTGTGTCATGGAGATTTGTTGTACAGATTATTTCATCACCTAGGCATTAAGCCTAGTACCTACTAGTTATTTTTTCTAATTCTCTCTCTCCTCCCACTCATCACCCTCTGATAAGCCCCAGTGTATGCTGTTCCCCTCTATATGTTCATGTCACACACCTTCCTTTTAAGAAACATCTAAACTTAGTGACACACCTGTTACATTAATTGAATAGAGTAGTATGCATTAACATATAAAAGAAGGAAAGGAACCCTGCTGTAAATTATTGGTGCTATGTAAGTCACAGCTATCCTGACAGACTCTGATCAGTTGAGAGTAGACCAGGAATTCAATGGGATGCAAATCATCAGACTATCTAACTAAATGAAAGATTCCCTGAGAAAGTGGATTGGATAAATAGGCAGGGCCTGAGGGCAATACATGTTTCCTTATCCTCTCCTACTGAATTGAAGAGAACGGCAGGAAAGAGTTTTCCCAGTGAATTCCTTTGAGTTTATTACTGCTTTATTACTTTTGAGTCAGATTCATAGTTCATTAATTTTTACTTTTTTCTTGCATTTGGGATTATAAATTTCCCAGTAAGTAGTATTTGAGTTTCATCCTATACATTATTTACCTGTGATGTTTTTGCTTACATTCAGTTCTAAATATTTCTACCTTCTATTTTAATTTTTTCATTAACCTGGACATATTTGGACGGGCGCAGTGGCTCATGCCTGTGATCCCAGCACTTTGGGAGGCCAAGGCGGTTGGATCGCGAGGTCAGGAGATCGAGACCATCCTGGCTAACACGATGAAACCCCATCTCTACTAAAAATACAAAACGTTAGCCAGGCGTACTGGTGGGCGCCTGTAGTCCCAGCTACACGGGAGGCTGAGGCAGGAGAATGGCGGGAACCCGGGAGGCGGAGCTTGCTGTGAGCCACGATGGCACCACTGCACCCCAGCCTGGGCAACAGAGCAAGACTCCGTTAAAAAAAAAAAAAAAAAAAAAAAAACCTAGACATATTTGAATTGTATTAATTTTGTTAGCATTTTGCTATCGATTTATAATTTATTGTATTATGGTTGGAAAACACCGTGTGTAATATGATTTCTTTAGCATTTGTTGAAACTTCCTTTGTGGATTTATTTTTGTAATGTGTTGTAACATGTATTTTGTAAATGTTCCATGTGTTCTTACAAAGAACACACATTCTCTAATTATTGAGTATGTGGTTCAAAATATGTTCTTTAAACTTATTTGTATTGATCAAATCTTCTCTATCTTTACTAATAGAAAATCTTATTGGATTGATGGATTTGTCAATAATACCATGTGGTTTTGTCCATTTTTGCTACAATATATCTGAGGCTATATTGATAGGTACATACAAATTCAGATTTCCTTTAATCTTTCTATTAAATAGTTGATTTTATCATGTACATAATGGTCCCCTTTACCCTGATAATGTTTTATTACCTTAAATTTTTTTTTAAATTAGTGCTTGCCTTTACTCTGAAATTCCTCCCCCCACCCCATGTTTTAAGCAGGTTTCTGGTAAAATAACTATACACACACACACACTATCCACATTTATTCTAATTACTTATATGATTGGGTTTATTCCCGTCAGCTTTACTCTTTCTACTTGCTGTCAAGAATTGTGAAGGGTCTGAGATTTTATCCTACGTGCAAGCCTGTTATAGTTTCATGGATGCTGGACGAAGACACAAGACTCCTTGGTCAGAGACAAATGACTTTATCACTCACAACAATAGCAGTTGCCAGAGTATCATCATTTGCACCAATTCCCAGAACCCAGTTTTCACAGGACATCATGAAGAGAGCCACGTGACATCTGCACATACCCTGAGCTGTGTTACAGGAGAGAAATCCTGATCTTAGGAAATCCAATTATTTTATACTGGGCAGTAAGCCTGCCTGACCTTTGCCAGAGGAAAACATTATTTTTATTACACCAGACAGTAAACAAACCTAGTCTTTGCTCTGAAGAGGGACATAATCTCTATATTTCAAGGCTGTTATCTATACAAGCACCCTTGAAAATATACTTTGGAACAAATAGAGTCAGTGGTTTTGCTCAAAAGATGTGCAAAAAAACATGAGAGACCCAAGAGGAATTGTACACCCAATACTTAACTATACTATTTTTCCTTTGATGCATTTATTTCCTGACTGTTTTAATTAATTGGATTTTCTATGGTCCCCTTTTCCTTTAGTATTTTGGATGACATACATTATGTCTGTAACATTTTAATTGTTACTCAAAGTATTTAACATGTATAACTAAAACACTAAGTCAACAATCCCTACAATGATCTCTACCTTCCTTTATAATACAGAATCTTAGTACTTTTAACTCTAATCATACATATCTAACAGTCTTACAAGTTATGGTACATATTATCCTCATTCAAATTTCTTCTTTTATAATTCTCAAATTGGGCATTCTAATAATTATTTTGTAATACATCTAATATATTTGCCATTTTCCCCTCACACCATTATTTCTTGCATCCTACTTCTTCCTTCCAGGTTTAATTTCTTCCTTTTTTAAGTATATCATTCAGATGTTCATTCAAGAGGCGAAATAACTAAATTACCTGAATTTTTCTCTAAACTTGCCATTATTTTATTCTTGGTCTTGAATGAAAGTTTTGCAAGCCTTAGAATTCTAGATTGTTAGTCAGTTCTATTGGAAGTTTAAAGATAATGTTCCACTGTGTTACACTGTTGAGGCTATCTGTTGCTGTGCATGAGAATTTAATGTCAATCTAGTAATTGCTCTTTGGAGATAATTATCTGTTGTCTTTTATTGCTTTTAAGATTGTCTATGAGGTATCTCAAAAATAAGTCATAATGCGAATTTGTTTTTATTTATATTGTTCAGGAATTGTACTTTGTTATTTCACAATCTGTCATATTACTAACTCTTCATATGTCTTTGCTGCAATACAAGCAATTTTTTAAACTTATCTTCCAGGGTAATATTTCTCTCCTTATTTGTATTTAATATGCTGTTTATATCCATTTTATTATAATTTGAATAAATATATTTCGAATGTTAGAAATTTTTATTGGCCTTCATAAATGGAGCAGTCCATACTGTCTTATTCTTAAGTTCTTTTTATTTCTTCCTTTCTATTTTTAAACATTTTAAATATAGTCTCACAGGATAGAGATTGAGTCTCTCTCTCTAGAGCAAAGAGCAGGTTTGTTTACTGTCTAGTGTAATGAAGATAGTCTTCCTCTAGGACAAAGGTCTGGCAGGCTTACTGCCCAGTGTAAAAGATCGGGTTTCTTAAGGTCAGGATTCCTCACTTATTACACAGCTCACTGTTTATATAGATGTCACCTGGTACTCTTCATGTTGCCCTGTGGAAATCTGGAAATTGAAGTTCTTGTTTTCTCTGCTGAAATGCATGCTATGATCAATCGTTTTCTTCACTGGGGGAACGAGAAGATAAGCCCATCTGAAGTGGAGCTTTATTTTGTGGAATCTATTGTGGGATAAGGTGTAAGCATGTCCTTTTATAAAGTATTAGTACTTACTTCTGTCAGATACATCAGGATATTAATAGGCACGGATTAACAATAATGTTAATGTCTTGGCTTCAAGTTTCCAAGCAAGAAATACATATGCAAATGTATATTTGGGTATGTATATCCAAACCTATGCTAAATGAAAGCCCAAGATATCTATTTTCCAGGTGAAACGTTTTATTGGCCTAGCCCAGATCACTTGCAGAGATCAGTTTCCTTTCATCTTGTTGCACCTATGGGTATGTTCCTAGTGCACTCCTTTAATGACTGATCAGACATTTAGGGGTCTAAGTTTTTGCAGAGGACTCAGTTCCAATTTCTTATCTCACAAAGGTACAATATCTGCCACAAAGTGGGCACAGAAAGCCAATCCTCCAAGCAGAAGTAGCAGCAACTCAAGTATTCATCCTTCTGCTTTTTTGCTTCCCTCTTCAGGAACCATAGGAATTCATTTTAAATGACTTTTAAGCATTGTTAAAAATGTTTGCCTCACTTAAATTTCCTAAGAATGTATTATTAATAATTACAATTAGTAAAGATTTCTAGTATATAGAATGAAATTCAAATATAGTTTTAAAACATGGTAACAATGCAATAATGAGCTACTTTACCTTTCCTATGAGAAGAAACAAAATCTACACCTCTATTTCCTTATTAGCCATCTTCCTGAAAGAATTACCTTCTTCATCTTATACTTACATTAAACCACAGTAACTGGTTCTGTCTAGATATCTGCATTTATTTCATTTTGACCATTGACTATATTATCGGAAAAAACTAGAAAGTATTTATTATACTGTATTATTCATAATGAATTTCATTTGGAAAAGTTGTTACTTTTCCATGCTCTTACTATGCTGCATAAGGTGGGCCTTAAAGTATCATTTATCACAGAAAGCCATTTATTAAAATGGCATTCCTCATATTAGAATTTGTCCTAGAGGCCATTAATGTTCTCTCCCGTATGAGTCACTCTTCAACTATCTCATAATAATATAAGGCAGCACATTTTAACTTTAATAGGAAGTAACTTGAGAATGTATTGTGTCACTAAGACATTTTCTTATGAGGTTTCTTATAAAATTTTAATATAATAAACATAATAGAGATTTACCAGTGATGACTTTGTAGTTTTTGATTCTTCAAAGCTTGGCCTCTTATACAGATTGCTCAATTCCAAGGATTCTTTGATGTCTTGAGATAATTTCTCCTCAATGGGAGCTTTTTCTAAATCTCTACCTAGCAAAGTGTCCTTGCTTTCAAGTGATACACAGGAATCATCAGACTTTTGATTACTTTCTAAACCTATATTTTTCTCCTTTAAATTTCTTTCAAAGGAGGTGCTTTCCTCAATTTTTTCAATGTCAGAAGAATACACATCAGGATCCACGATGTTGTCAAAATCTGTGTTTGAAGTTTCTGCTGTTAAAAACACACAGTTACAAAAGGTACATAAATAAATTTAAACAAATAATTAAACTGTTAATAAACCAAAAGTTCTGTGGTAAAAAAACTTTCTCAATAAACACTATTTCACAAATTCCTTTACTGATGTTTTAGTGTTAAAATATTTTTACTATGCTTATATTCATAAGTGGTAATCATAATTCACTTATAGAACCAAACATTAATGAGCTAGACTAGTAAAAGAAGGTAATATTTTATTTTGCAATGAAATCTTAAAATTGATGCAAATTTTTATTTCAGCCTGTGGTTCAATTCTCACTTTCCCACCTCCTCCTCTCACTCAAATTTTACAACAGTAATTCATGAGAAGTAACACAGGGGGAACATTTTTTCATTTTGCCATTTTTCCCTAGCATGCCTAGCAATAAAGAGAGGGCACAGGGAAATGTGCCAGATGAAAGAAGAGCAGCAGTTGGGGGCACAGAAAATGTGTAGCAGGGACACCTGCTTCTAGAAAGCTACAAAGTGAACAAGATTGTATTAGTCATCTACCTCATTATGTCTGCTTTAAATAAATCATTTGGTTTACATCACCGGTTTTTAACCTGGTTGCACAGTAGAATCATCTGAAGGCACTCTTTAAAATTGTCAGTGTATGGGCCTGACCCCAAACCAATTAAATCAGATCCTGAGAGTGGAACTCAGGCATTGGTCTTTTGAACTTCCCCTTGCTAAGTTGTCCAGGTGATTATAGTGGGTAACACAGTAGTGAAACACTGGTCTAGATTTTCTGAAAAATAAAAATTCTTTGAATGTTTATACCATACTACTTTCATTTTAAATAAATGTACACCATTATCCAGACTGAATATAGCTTCTTCTGGTTATCCCTTACTCTGTTCCAAAGACAAATATCTCTATAAGTAGACTATGTAAAATAGTAGAAACTCTGAATAAAACTGTCTCCTGTGATGTAAATGCTTTACAGCTTTACAAAGGACTTGCTTGTTGCAATCAAATGTTTATATAACTCACCAATTTCAGATAGTATTTAGAACTAGTGGAAACAAGGAAGTCAAAAGTACCTCTCTCCATAAGACACACCCACACAGGTGCAGAAAAGGCTTTCGACAAAATTCAACATTCATTCATGTTAAAATCTCTCAATAAACTAGGTATTGAAGGAATATATCTCAAAATAATAAGAACCATATATAACAAACCCAGAGCCAACATCATACTGAAAGGGCAAAAGTATTCCCCTTGAAAACTGGCACAAGACGAGGATGCCCTCTCTCACCACTCCTATTCAACATAATATTGGAAGTCCTAGCAAGGGCAACCAGGAAAGAGAAAGAAATAAAGGGCATCCAAATAGTAGGAGAGGAAGTCAAACTATCTCTGTTTGCAGACTACATGATGCTAAATCCAGAAAACCCCATAGCTTAAGCCCAGAAGCTTCTTAAGCTGATAACTTTGGCAAAGTCTCAGAATACAAAATCAATGTGCAAAATCACTAGCATTCTTATACACCAATGACAGTCAAGCTGAGAGCCAAAAGAGCTCCAATAGCTAAGGCAATCCTAAGCAAAAAGAGCAAAACTGGAGGCATCATGCTACCCAACTTCAAACTATACTGAAGAGTTACCAAAATAGCATGGTACTGGTACAAAAACAGACACATAGACCAGTGGAACAGAATAGAAAACCCAGAAAATAGACCACACACCTACAGCTATCTGACCTTCAACAAACCTGACAAAAACAAGCAATGGGGAAAGGATTCCCTATTCAAAAAATGATGGTGGGATAACTGGCTAGCCATATGCTGAAGATTGAAGCTGGACCCCTTCCTTATACCATATACAAAAATTAACTCAAGATAGATTAAATACTTAAATGTAAATCCCAAAACTATGAAAACCCTGGAAGACAATCTAGGCAATAACATTCAGGACATGGGTATAGGCAAAGATTTCATGACAAAGATGCCAAAAGCAATAGCAGCAAAGCAAAAATTGACAAATAGGATCCAATTAAACTAAAGAGCTTCTGTACAGTGAAAGAAACTATCAACAGAATAAACGGACAAACTACAGAATGGGGGAAAACTTTTGCAAACCATGAATTCAACAGAGCTCTAAGAACCACCTTCTATAAGGAACTTAAAGAAATTTGCAAGAAAAAAGCAATCTCAATAAAAAGTGGGCAAAGACATGAGCAGACACTTTCCTAAAAGGGACATACATGTGACCACAATCCTATAAGAAGAAGCTCAACATCACTCATCATTACAGAAATGCAAATCAAAACCACAATGAGATACCATCTCACACCAGTCAGAATGGATATTATTAAAAAGTAAAAAAAATAACAGATGCTGGTGAGGTTGTGCAGAGAAAGGAACACTTATACACTGTTGGTAGGAATGTAAATTAGTTCAACCATCATGGAAGACAGCATGGTGATTTTCAAAGACATAAAGACAGAAATACCATTCAACCCAGCAATCTCATTACTGGGTATATACCCAAAGGAATATAAATCATTCTATTATAAAGATACATGTATATGTATGCTCAATGCAGCACTATTTATAATAGCACAGACAGGGAATCAACCCAAATGCTCATTAATGACAGACTGGATAAAGAAAATGTGGTACATATACACCATGGAATACTATGAAGAAAAACAAGATCATGTACTTTGCATGGACATGGATGGAGCTGGAGGCCATTATCCTTAGCAAACTAACAAAAGAACAGAAAACTAAGCACTAGTTTATAATTTATAAGAGGAAGCTAAATGGTGAGAACACATGGACACTTTAGAGGGGAACAACACACACTGGGGCCTATTGAAGGGTGAGGGTGGTAGGAGGGAGAGGAGCAGGAAAAATCACTAATGGGTGCAAGGCTTAATAAATGGATGATGAAATAATATGTACAACAAACCCCCATGACACAAGTTTACCTATGTAACAAAACTACACGTGTGTCCCTGAACTTAAAAGTTAAAAAAAGGCATGCCTACCAGTGACATGTCAGTTTACCACTGCTATGGCAACATCTGGAAGTTATCACCTGTTTCCCCAGCAACAACCTGATGACCCAGAAGTTGCCACCCCTTTTCCAGAAATTTCTGAGTAACTCATCTTTTAATTTGCATGTAATTAAAAGTGGCTAAAAATATTACTGCAGAGCCACCTCTGAGATGCTACTCTGGGTACAGTGCTTATGGGGTAAATCTGTTCCAAAAGGAACACTGCCTTTGCCACTGCTGTACACTGCTACTTTAATAAAACTTGCTGTCTAACACCACTGGCTTGCATGGTGCAAGCTGTCAGTGGATCTACCATTCTGTGGTCTGGAGGATGGTGGCTCTCTTCTCACAGCTGCACTAGGCAGTGCCCCAGTGGTTACTCTGTGTGGGGGCTCCTACCACATATTTCCCCTTTGCACCACTCTAGTAGAGGTTCTCCATGAGTGCTCTGCCTCTGCAACAGACTTCTACCTGGACATTTAGGCATTTCTGTACATCCTCTGATATCTAGACAGAGGTTTCCAAACCTCAAGTCTTATCTTCTGTGACTCACAGGCCCAACACCATGTGGAAGCCACCAAGGCTTGGGGCTTGCACCCTCTGAATCCAAGGTCCAAGCTGTATCTTGGCCCCTTTTAACCCTGACTGCACTTGGAGCCACTGGGACAGAGTACCATGTCTTGAGGGTGAACAGAGCAGTGAGGCCCTGAGCCTGGCCCATGAAACCATTTTTCCCTTCTAGGCCTACAGGCCAGTAATGGGAGGGGATGCTGTGAGGATCTCAGGAATGCCCTAGAGACATTTTCCCCATTGTCTTGGCAATCAATAGTTGGTTCCTCTTTATTTATACAAATTTCTGCAGCATGTGGCTCGAATTTCTCCCCAAAGAATGGGTGTTTCTTTTCTACCACATGGTCAGGCTGCAAATTTTCCAAACTTTTATGCTCTGCTTCCCTTTTAAACATAATTTCCAGTTTCATACCATTTCTTTGTGAATGCATATGACTATATGCTTTTTGAAACAGCCAGGTCACATCTTGAATGCTTTGTTTTGCTGCTTAGAAATTCCTTCTGCCAGATGCTGTAAATCATCTCTCTGAAGTTCAAATTCCACAGATGTCTAGTTTGAGGAGGGGGCCAAAATGCTGCCAGTCTCTTTGCTAAAGCATAGCAAAAGTGACCGTTACTTCAGTTCCCAATAAGTTCCTCATTTCCATCTGAAACCATCTCAGCCTAGACTTCATTGTCCATTATCACTATAAGCATTTTGGTCAAAATCATTCAACAAGTCTCTAGGAAGTCCTAAGCTTTCCCACATCTTCTTTTCTTCTTCTGAGCCCTCCAAACTGTTCTAACCTCTGCCTGTTACCGAGTTCTAAAGTCACTTCCACATTTTCAGGTATCTTTACAGCACTACTTCACTTTTCTGGTACCAATTTTCTCTGTTAGTCCATTTTTAAACTGCTATAAAGAACTACCTAAGACTGGGTACTTTATTAAGGAAAGAGGCTTAATTGACTCACAGTTCCACATGGCTGGGAGGTCTCAGGAGTCTTATAATCATGGCAGAAGGTGAAGGGGAAGCAAGGCATGTATTACATGTTGGCGAGGGCTGGGGATCTGCCACACACTTTTAAATCATCAGAGCTCACGAGGACTCACTCACTATCATGAGAACAACATGGAGGAAACCACTCCTATGATCCAATCACCTCCCACCAGGTCCCTCCCTTGACACATGGGGATTACAATTTGAGATGAGATTTGGTTAGGAACACAGAGCCAAGCCATATCATAGATAGAAATCTAAAAATTATATACAAGATCTATATGAGGAATTCTACAAATTCTGATTAAAGAAATCAAAATTCTAAATAAATAGAGAAATATTCTATGTTCATGGATGGGAAGATTTAATATTGTTAAGATATTTTTTCCCAACTTGATCTATAGATTCATTGCAATCCCAATCAAAATCCCCGCCTTTTTATAGAGAAACAAATGACCCAGGATAGTGAACACAATATCGAAGAAGAGCAAAGTCAGAAGACTTGATACTACCTTACATCAAGATTACTATAAATCTATAACAATCAAGAGAGTGTGTGGTATTGGAATAAATGTAGACAAATAGATAAATGAAACAGAATAGAGAATCCTGAGTAGACCTATATAAATACAGTCAACTGATCTTTGAGAGAAGAATAAAGGCAATACAACAAAGAAAATATAATCTGTTAAGCAAATGATTCTGGAACAACTGGATATCCACATGTGAAACAATATATATAGACACAGACCTTACACCTTCACAAAAATTAACTCAAAATAGATTACACACCTGAATATAAAATGCAAAGCTATGAATCTCTCAAAAGATAACATAGGATAAAACATAGATGACACTGGCTATGACAATAACTTTCTAGATACAACATCAAAGAAAAAATTGATAAGCTAAACTTTATTAAAATAAAAGCTTATACACTATGAAAAATAGTCCAGAGAATAAACAGGCAATCCATACACTGAAAGAAAATATTTGGAAAAGATATTTGATAAAAGAGTGTTATGCAAAACATACAAAAAACTCTTAAACCTCAACAATAACAAAATAAACAACCCAATCAAAACATTAGCTAAAAACCTGAACAGATATTTTAACAAAGATATACAGTTGGCAAATAAGCATATTAAAAGATTCTCGATATCATATGTCAACAGAGAATTGCAAATCAAAAAAAAAATGAAATATCACTACACAATTGCTAGAATGGAAAAATTCTGAAACACTGGCACCAGATGATGGTGAGGATATGGAGTAACAGGAACTTTCATTAATTGCTGGTGGGAATGTAAAATAGTACAGCTACTTTGGTAAGACTGTTTGGCAATTATTAAAACAAAACTAAACATACCTGTACCATATGATCCAATAGTTATGCTCCTTGGTATTTACCCAAATAAGTTGAAAACTTAAGTCCCAATAAAAACCCATACATGAATATTTATAGTAGTTTTGTTCATAATTGCTAAAGCTTGGAACAACCAAAATGTTCTTCAATAGGTGAATTGATAAATAAACTATTGTACATTCATACAATTGAATATTATTTAGCACTAAAAGAAATGAGAAATCAAGCCACAAAAAGACAAGGAGAAACCTCAAATGCATATTATTAAGTTAAAGAATCCAATTATTAAAGGCTATGTACTGTATGATTCTAACTATATGACATTCTGGAAAGGCAAAACTATGAGGACAGTAAAAAAAATCAGTGGTTGCCAGGAGTTGGTCAGAGAGAGGGATAAACAGGTGGGGCACAGAGAATTTTTAGGACGAGAAGGTATTCTGTATGATACTATAAGTGGTGAATATGTATCACATTATACTTTTGTCAAAACTCATAGCATGTACAATACCAAGAGTGAACTCTAATATAAACTATGGACACTGAGTTACAATAATGTATCAAAGTAGATTCATCCATTGTAGTAAATGTACCAGTCTGGTTGCAGAAGCTGATAATGGGGGAGGCTATGTATGTGTATAGAGCAAAGGGTATATAGGAACTCTCTGTACTTTCTGCTCAGTTTTGCTGTGAACCTAAAACTGCTCTAAAAAGTAAACATTTCAAAAATGTGTCTTTAAAGTAACAATTACATGGGCATTTATGTGCATCATTTTCTTAGAGGCAACAGGAACATCAGGAACTAGCTTGATCAAACTATACTCATCTTCAGGACAAGATTGGAATACTGTCCCTAAATTCCCATGTGGCTGTACTTTATATTTGGCCATAATAATTTAGTGGTTTAGTATTTGAAAATGTCAAGACCAGCAGGATTTACACAAATCTACCACTGCTTTCTATCTTCTGCTGCCCAATCAGAATGTAATCATCAGTTTTACAACTATTTATTTCAAATATGCCCTCCGATATCTCTCAAAAATCTAATCTTCACATACGATATATTTATTAATTTTTCTTAAAATTCTAGGTAGATCAAATCTAATAGTTAAAAGGAGGCTTGAAAATTATCTAGTTCCTACATTTTTGCTTAGGAAAATGAAGTCTAAGCAAGTAAGTGAGATGTTCAAGGTCAGACAGTGATTTAAAGGCACAAATGGAAACAAAATCTGACTCCTAGGCCAGGATACTTTGCTGTGACTGTCTTTAAATGATCTCACAATCTGGAAATTGAAACCACACATATGAACACAGCATTCTAATCTACAGGTACCTAGGGAACTACTAGTAATAGCAACATAGATATATAAGCAAGATGATGTGTTTTGTTTTGTTTTTTTGAGACAGAGTTTTGCTCTTGTCGCCTAGGCTGGAGTGCAACGGTGTGATCTCGGCTTACCGCAACCTCTGCCTCCTGGGCTCAAGCGATTCTCCTGCCTCAGCCTTCTGAGTAGCTGGGATTATAGGCACCTGCCACCATGCCAGGCTAATTTTTTTTATTTTTATTTTTAGTAGAGATAGGGTTTTGCTATGTTGGCCAGGCTGGTCTCAAACTCCTGACTTCAGGTGATCCACCCACCTCGCCTCCCAAAATGCTGGGATTACAAGCTTGAGCCACCGAGCCCGGCCAGTGATTTGTTTTATTTTGGTTCATCTCTCATGTGAAACTTTATATCAGATTTGAATATTTTTGAAAAATATTTAGTGCAAGTGAGAGCAAGAGGGTGCCAGTCAGACTTTTGTCACTGAAAGGCCTTCCATGTAATCTTTTAAATGCTAGCTGAGTCTATAATAACTTTTAGAGTGCCCTATATTGGCTGATTTTTCTTACACATACAAACACTGTTGTCCATTGACTAAATTGCATATTTACTAGAAAATTATATTTTCAACTAATTTTCATTTTAGTACTGAGGTTTTTTTGGTTTTAAAATGAACAGCATAACAAAGCTTTTATAGACTGCAATAGTAAATTATCAACATGCACTGTTAATAATATCCAGCAACAAGAAAAATGTTACCTTTTGAATTATCTTTATAATAAGTAGAGCTGTTTCTCAGACAAAGATTTAAGAAGTCTCTCTTTCCCTTATCGAAAACATGATGTTGATGGATGCCATTTTCATATGGAAAGCTATTCTTCTGACAATCATGAAAAGCACAACTTTCACATGTAGGAACAAACAAAATAATAGAGTTGAAAAAATGATTTTAAAAAGAAAATTTTAAAAGTCCCAAGTCATTAAAACAAATATAGTAAAACTTTAATAGGGTTATTTACATTAATTTAATATTTATTTTAACCTTATGTGAACACATTCTCAACTATAAGTAACTAATAACACTGTGGATTTAAGATGAATAGGTAACTGGACCAAATCTAATTTAACTGCAAAATTTCAGTTGAAAGTTTGTTTTCCAAAATATATTGAAATAAGTTTGATTTCTTACAGTTTCTTCTAAAAAGGGAGTGTTCTCTTTCAAGCTCATTAAAATCTGATGAAATCAAGGCTTTACTACTAGATAAACATATTATTTGTTCATCAACAAGATATGAGTTTAAAAGCAGTATGTGATATTTAGGTTTCAAAGTTTAATAATGATTACTATCTATATGCATAGTTACAATTTAAATAACATTCTTTATGAACTGAATAATATATTTAGTAATACCTGATATTTATATAAGCTCTACAGAATACCATTATAAAACTTCTGGATTATATTCAACCGAAAAGGCCCTCTTGTGTCACTCGTGATCTCCAGGAGAGAGAGAAAATTAATGTAGTTCTATGGGCACCTCCAAACCAAAGCTGTAAAACTACTGCCAAATCATGATCAGTAACTTTCTCTGCCTTCTCTAACACCTTACATAGGAGTCAAAGCAAAGACATGTGATAAGATATATAAAAGAATCCGATTAGAGAACAGAAATGCTATTCATTTCCTTAGAGATAGAGTGGTGCATATAAACCTCTTATCTGCTGAACAGAAAGTTGTCTCCCGCCAAAACCCCACTTCCAAAAGCACATTTGCTGCTAGAGAGCTGGTTCTGTGTGTCTAAACATGGGATTTTTCTGTTCAGGGGAATCACTCAGGCCCATAGCTATTGCAAAATGTGGACGGGGGCCTAAACTGATCTGAATCAAGAATTGGTAGAGGGGATACTTGACAGGAATTCCACTCCACTGTTTACAAATCCTGAAGTTTCAACAGCAGAAAGTAACTGTTTTAACATTACTAACAGATACAGTTAGATATTATTTTTCATTTGGAAATGAGAAAATTCTACAACGCAATTACAAAGTGAACCATTATACTTCATTTGTTTACTTTATTATACGTTAAAATCTACCTAGGAAGTAATCTATAGTACAGGAGCTCTTTTAGTCTCTCAGCCTAATCATTTATAAAACTTTTTATTTAGGGTTCATAGAAAACTGAACAAAATCCAGAGTATCTTTAGAGAGAAGAAGAAAGCTCATATGAAACATATCAAAGTTGATCAACCATTTCAGAGGATAACAACCCCTAAGTTCAGAAGAATGTATTAAATAATCCAAATATTAGGTAAGAGTACAAACCTATCACTATAGACAGTTTTCTAATTGCTGAATGTTATTAAATATCAGCAATATTGTATACATATTTAAGCATGGGTTAAGTAAAATATACTCTGACATTAATGTCACATGTTTTTTCACACCACATATTTCACATTTAAAAAGACAGATGATTTTGTGTGTGTGTCAGGAGGGGGCTCAATATGCACACAAAGTTAATTAGAAAGGTTTTACCTTCGTTGACTGTCTGCATCAGCTAATTTAACTTTGTAAGGCACAATATTTTCTGCTTCTTCAAATTCCTCTTCATAAGTCTTATTAAATTAATGTTATATAATATTAGTAAGTTCATAAAAATTTATTACACATTAACCAACTTACTTATGGGTGATATTTGGAGTACATTTTTCCTACAAATGATGTTATGAGAGCTCTAATTATATTTTATAACACATAAGTTCTAGGAGAACTAAACAAATTCAACTGACATTGGTTGATATGTCAATTACTTTATCACTATTATAATACCCCAATCCAACAATAATAACTTATATTTAAGTATGTAGCTACTACCTGCCAAGTAGATTAGTGACTAGGAAGTTGTCAGTTCTCTGACTGGCTCATCATAAACTTACGCTGTGTATCAACAATGTAATGAATGGCATGCCCACATGTATGTAGTGTGTGTGTTTTTGTCCAGTCTCTCAAATTTATCCAGAGGAGAAATAAAAATGTTGTTAGCCAAAAAACACAAATAACAAAAATAGCAGAAGCTTTCAACCTAAAGAAGAAAGGAAGAAAGCAGTATTTAAAAGAGGTAAGTTCTCCATTCTAGTCATTTTCTTAACAACCACAGTAAGAGAAATATCTAGGACAAGTGGCACATTCAGCTACTATATTACTAGAAAGTCAGAAATGCACTGAGTGTATCACACCCTAAACCTTCAGTCCAGAGCTCTAGCTCTGACAGGGTCTGGCTCTAGTTGATGCTATTGGTGTCTTCTACATATGTTCAAGTTATGTTCAAGTTATTTGACTGAACTTCTTAAGTCTTACACACTATTTCTACATTTAAACGGAAAATAATATTAAATGACATTCAAGAAACTAAATTTACACTTATATTTTAATAGGTACCATGTAACGAGACTGATATTTGTTTAAAAACTTGATAACATAGAGAACTAAACTAATAAAATATCAAACTACATATCTATAAGTTAAAATAGTGAAATGTCTTCTTACCTCCCATAATATATTCATCCAAAAAAATTGACAATACCAGTTTAGCTCACAAATTTACTGTTTACATTCAGAATAATATTGTTTTATTCTTATAAGCATATTTAAACCCAAACACTTGTAAATTTCCTATTAAACTATGTTAGTTATTTGAGAAATCTTATTGAAAATAATATGCAGATGTAAGTATACATTATGAATTCCCTGTTAAAAATCATGAATGGTCATTATGCACTTATGCACTTACATCATCCAGTTCGACTATCTTTAGAGATGGTTCAGGTCTCTCTATGTTTAATGTTTCTACTGGCAATAAAAGAGCTGTGTGTTGTACTTTGGTCTCCTCACCTAGGAAATAAGATTCACAAATAATATCATCAAAGAATATATCTTACTTTATAATTTCTTCAAATAAGATAGCCACCAAAAAAGAAGAGTGTTCTCATGTGTATCTACACAAAAATACAAATACTGTCAATTTTCCCAGTTCAAGTGAAATACACATTTATTAGCATTCAATTTTTAAATGAAACTATCTAAATCAAGGCAAAGTATATCTAGGGAAAGGGAAAGAAGTGAGTGTACATGATTTTCATCTAAAGAGAAAAGATTACATGGTACAACTGAGAATAATATATTAAAGAAAACCAAAAGCAGATTCTGATTAATGCTTAGTGTATATAACTTGAGACAATACATTTTAAAAATATCTAATCAAGTATGAACTAACCATCACTATCTTCATCGTTTTCATTTTGAGAACACTGTGCATCACCAGTGGTTTCATGTGGATGTGGGAACGTATCTGGTAGCATTTTAAAAAGTTGCTCTTGTGGAGTTCTACAAAATAAGAAAGAAGCAATTAAGAGACTGAAATATATTACCTGAAACTTTCCCAGACAAGCTCTTGATTTATTTATCAAATGAATGAGTATACAAAATTAATGATGAAACCGTAACTGTACCTTTAATTCAAAGATAAGTACAATTGTATAACAGAATCTTAATGTACTAAAAAAAAACTGTGTAAATCAACTTGACATCACAGAAGATTTTTAAATTGCATATCCTACTGAGTTTTGTTTAAGCTAAAAATCAAAGTTATGCTACAAGTCAGTGTTCTCTCAAAAGCCACATGGAGTCCATTAAAAACACCATGCTACTTAAAAAGCTAATTTATGAATGTGAGTTTTAGTTCACAGTCTTGGCATTGTGTTGATGAGTTCTACGGGAACCTGAGGGCATTTGTCTAAATTTCCATCCTACCAGCAGGGTGGTAACATAGGCTCCTACAATAAAAATGTAAGGTGTTCAGGCTGTGGTATCTATTACTTAATTAACAATGAAGACTGCTGCAGCCCATTTCATATGGAAGGCAGTGAAGCCCAGGAATTCACAGAGGTCAAGAGTGTATATTTGGTTTCATAGTATATAACCAAATTATTGGAGAGAAGGGTCACTTTTTAACCAAGAATATGAGTAGCTGCACAGCCTTTCCATACCATGCAAGTTCATAAAGTCCCCATGTAAAAGCCAGAGCCTTCTCAGTGATATTTGTAGTTAATATGGATACAAAATCTAAAATATACCAGGCTCCATTCTAACTAATTTTGGTACATTAAATTTTATTAGATATTAAATAGGCACTAGTATGATCTTAACTTTACAGAGGATGAGACTGAGACACAAAGTGGTGTACCGACTTGTTGAGTCATTCAGGTAGTGAATGCAGAAGAGGAATTTGAACTCAAGGAGTCTGCCTCCCAAAAACCATGTTCTTAACCACGTACTTCCTTTGTAATGCCTCTTCTGCAACTTTCAAAGGCATTAAAATTTTGATAAAATTGACAAGTGACTTTGGAATTACATTTATATGCCAATTGTTAATTAGAAAAAGGCAATTAACAGATACACACTACTGTTACACATATCCTCATTCACTTTTAAAATTTGAATAAATTTGTGGTGTACAGTTTTGTGGGTTTTTACCAATGCATAAAGTCATATGGACCACAGTACCCCCCAAAAAAAATAGCCTGAAGAGCTATTATGGGCATCATACTTTAAAAAATATATACAGCCTGGACATTAGTTATAAATGAATTACCTTAAACCTCTGCCATATAAGCTACTACAATGAGATACAACTACACGCCTTATTAAAATGTCAAACAAAAGAAAAAAAAACTGAATACCAAGTGTTGGCAGGGATTTGGAGCAACCAGAACTCTCGTACCTTGCTGGAGCAAATGCAAAATGGTACAGTCAATTTAGAAAAGAGTTTGGCAGTTTCTTATAAAAATAAACATGCACTTACCATATAGCCCACCTATCACAGTCCCAGGTATTTACCCAGGGAATTAAAAACCTATATTCAAGAAAAACCTGTTATGAAAATATTTTTAAAGGACCTAGTGATAATTGCCAAAAACTGGAAACCAGCCAGAACAAATATTGATTCATACAAGAACATGGATGAATCTTAAATGCATTCTGCTAAATGAAGGACATGAAAGGACGGATACTGTATGATTTCATTTATATGACCTCCAAAAAAAGGCACATTTGTAAGGGTGGACAACAGATGAATAGTTGTTACGGACTAAGAAAGGGAAGAGAAGAAAGAGGAAGCTCAAGGGAATGTGGTTGTAAGACTGTTTTTTGTGGGGGCAGGGGTACTGTGGTAGACACATGACTTTATGCATTGCTAAAAACCCATAGAACTGTACACCACAAGTTTATTCAAATTTTAAAAATCAGTGAGGATATGGGCTGAACCCAATGAAAGTCATACCAACCTTAAAGGAGGTAAGAAATAAATGAGCACTATGGCCAAAGTAATGTTGGAAAACATGGTTTGGCCTAGATACCGTAGGCTACAGATAAAAGCATGACACACAAAGACTGTACTCTAGGTGGAAAATTTGTTTCTTTCAGTGATATTATTAACAGTAATTTTGAAATTAATTGTCCCTTGTTTCTCTCAGTGATATTTGTGATTCTGAAACTACTGTATGTATACATACATATATATTTTAGGGCTAATTAATAAATATATTATAGATAATGAAAGCCAAGTTTCTCACTGTAAGTGAAAGAAATTTGTCAAATAAGCAAAGGGAGAATGGAAATGAATCATGTGATGCTGGTTTGGATTCGGAATGCCTGGGTGTGAATGCATGTTACTTTAATAGATATCCAGATGGATAGATACAGAAAAAAATTTATATGTGTGTATGTGGATTTGTGTGTGTGTGTGTGCACGCACGTGTGTGTGTGTGTACTTCCCAGTTTCTTCCTCTGAGAAGGCCTAGAATTGTGGCACCAGAATAGTAATGATCACACCTAGAGTCCAGATCTTTGTTTCTGAGCACCATTCTCCAATAAAGGGAACCAGTATTTTTTAGAAAAACAATTCCTTGGCTTGGGCAGGGAAAATGCATCTTGAGTTCCAGAAAAAAAAGAGATGTTCAAAGCAAACTAACCAAAAAAAAAAAAAAAAATTGATGACAACAAATCAAAAGGATGGAAGAGTCAACCCGACAGAGTCCACAATGGCCAAGGCAGAAATAATTTGAGTTGCAAAATAAATAACAATAATATTAGATATCAATCCCCAAAATAAAATAAATATTCATGAGTTGACATAAAGAAAAAATAATAAAAGTGGGTGAAGGAACACTTCTTTTAAGAGGAATTCCAACTAATAAATTTAGAAGGAACAAAGGAAATAGAATATCTGCAATAGAGCAGGAGAGTACTAACTGCTGCAGGCAAAATTCACTCACAAACTCTAAAATTAGGAGGTGAAAGTTTAAGGGAAAACAGAGTTGATGTATCATCTCAATGTGTCTCCTCTAAAATATTTATCAATTATAAAGGGAAAGTAGTGATTTTACAGTGGAGAAACTTAGCACCACCTTAACTATGTGATCAAGGTTAACATCATCTGTAATAAGATATATTGACATCACGATCCCAGAATGTCACGCACTGAGAAAGACACATACTCTCTGTGGCATTTTTCCTCACAGTGTATAACCTCAGTCTAATTATGAAAAAACATCAGACAAGCCCAAATTGAGCACATTCTATGAAACACCTGGCAAGTACTCTTCAAAAGTGTTAAGGTCATGAAAGGCAGGGAAAGACTGAAGAACTGTAATGGATAAGGAAATATGACAAAAAATACAATGTGTAATCCTGGACTGGATCCTGGAATGGGGTAAGGATAATAGTGAAAATGCTGATGATAAAATTAAGGTAAAATGTACAGTTCTCAATAATATTGTCCCTATGTAAGTTTCCTGGTTTTGATATGCACTATGTTTATGTAAGATGTTACCATTAGAGAAAGCTGAGTGAATGTTATTTGGGAATTCTTTGTGCTATTTTGAAACCCATCTGTATATCTTCTTTTCAAAATAATCCAAAAGAAAAAAAATCTAGCACATTACAAACAGTTGAAGGTGAGTGGTGGTGCGGGTATTAACCTATCTAGCAGAGGCTTCACGGGAAACATGAGGGCTGATTTCAAAAATCTGAAGAGATACCATGGAGAAGAAAAATTAGATTTTATCTGTATGGGCTTAATAGGTAGAATTAGAACCAAGTTTAGAAATTAGCTGGAAACAGATTACAGTTCAATGAATATCTCTTCCACAGATGGAATGGGCCACCTCGGGAGATGGTTTTGCGTAACTGAAGGTGAAGCAAGGGTGTGATGACCACTTCTCAGGCAAATTCTAGAGAGCTCCTCCAACAACTTGCACCTCAAAAAAAGACCAGAGACCAGCCTCATCCAACCATTATCACCTGGGAGCTATTAGAAATTCAGAAATACAGAATCTCAGGCCTCACTTCAGATCTACGAAAAAATAACCCATATTTTGCCACAGTTTCTAGCTGATTGTATCTGGTGATATCTCTTTGAATAAAGTATATTTAATTACTATTAATAAAATTAGAAAAATGTTTAATTAATTTAAAACTAGATTCTGAAAATTATAGTCTCAAATGTTAGTGCTAATATAAAAAACTGGTGTCTTCTCAAAGTAATATTTCATTTATCACATTATTTTTATTATTCTTCTTAAATTCATTTCTGCATTTGCGCCTTTTCCTTATATACACATTTCCATTTCTCAAGGAAAACTGTAAATTAATGATGCATCATATACATAAATAGAATTAAAATTCTTATTGGAACAGCAACTTCACAGGGATTTAATCTTGCTTTAAAATTATGTATGCAAATATGAAATATACATATAAAATTGCTATAGGAAGGCATGTCATACAAGAAAGAAACATAAATAACTTTCATATTTCCTAATAGTATTATAATTTCAGAAAATACCTCCTGTGTTTTTTAAGCCATAATTTTTCCATATAGGATAGAATGTCTTCTTTAAGTTCAATATTAAGTGGTTCTCTCCAAATTTTCAGATTAGTCTGTACTTCGCATTCTTCCAATGAGTCTGTAAAAATAAACACAATGTGCATAATTAAAATAAGCAAGTTTACAAATTACTATATCTTCTCTTAAGATGTAGAACTCATCATTTTTGGGGCATATATGCTTTAATATTTACTTATACAATCAATAGGTTAAGGTTTAAATAATGCAAAAGTATTAAATATTGGTAATTTATTAAGGGACTGGATAGACAGTTTTCTTCAACAATCTCTTGAAATGAAGGGATCTTATGATTCAGAAGGTTTGTTAAAGCAACTCATTCTTTTAAATAAAAATTATAAATACAAACATTCATTGTACATTGTATAAACACATACATAAAGGTATAATACACAGATGTATAAAGTGTTATAGCCACTGACAATAATATTTACACATTATGAGAAACAGGAAATAAATAATTCATAATGACATCTGGAGGAGACAATTTTCTTCACAAATTTATATCTACATGGTAATTTACTTCCAGATGTTTAAGATATTTCTGAAGCACTACTAAATTAAAATCACTATTCAGAGATATTTAAAACTGATGAAGATATCTAGGAAAGAAAGCAGTGTAAATCCATGATTACTAGTCTCTCCACCCTCCCACGTATCGTTCCTGTCTCCAAACTGAACATCACAGGGGAAAAAAAATGTAGGAGAATCAAGGGAAATAGTAAAGATGGGAAAAACATTTTTTTATAAACTAAGGCTAGAGGGTGTCCCAGCCTCATATTGTAGACTTCAATGATTAACTGCCAGAAACAGCTACGGGCCAGCAATGGAAACAAATTAAAGTAAAAATAAAGTAAGGAATCCCACTTCTATTTTTCCCAAAGAGTAGAGCAGTGTTGAAGAAAGCAATTGGAAAAAGTTTGGGAAAACACTGATCAGAATCCCTTGAACTGAAAGAGCAGAGTTAAGGACATGAGCAAGTCATGAGAGAGAAGAAATGCCTCCACTATGAGTCCCCCTTTTCATTTTGAAACAAGATTTCTTGACAGGAGAGCTAAAAGAGGGGGGGGGGGGAAAGAACTCTTTTGTTTTTGCTGTCTAGATGTTAGAGAAGAGCCACTGTGCTTGAGATATAAACTCTAAACACAGAAGGGTGATGGAAGAGGAAGAAGATAAAGCAGCTGGCCCGTGATTCACTTTTCTCCCTTACCAATGGCACATTCCCAAGAAATAAAGATGGGAGGTGACCTGGGTTAATTTGTTTGTGAATATGTTGATAACTGGACCTACAGGCAAATGAATTAATAATATTTGCTGGGAGGAGACTCTTTAGCTATATGGTGTATTTAAAATGCTAGCTCTTGTTTAGAATTGCTTGTCGTAAACAAACTTACGGATTTATGAGGCATGGCTCCCTGGGAAATGCCAAATAAGGTATGTAACTTATGTTTTTATTTGCTCCCTTCTTTCATGGTTCACTGGCTACATTGTATAAGAATGTGCATAAGATTCTCCATCCTCAAATTGATGGGATCATGGGTGTTTTCCTTAATAGATAGTGCAAAAGTCCTGATGGGAAAGTATGCCTAAAGTATGTGAAGAACGGGTAGAAGTCAAGAGTGGCTGAAACGAAACCAGCCATGCCTGCAGGAGAGTAACAGGAGATGAGATGTCTGAGATAATGGACTTCAGATCACACATAACTTTCTAGGCCATTGAAAGTACCTGCCTTTCACATAGAAGGAAATGAGATTTTAGAATACTAAAACAAAACCAAGTTAAAAATCAATAACAGAAATAACTAGAAAACTAGAAATTTAAAGCATACTATTAAGCTGAATGGTCAAGAAATATGTGAAAAGATGTTTCATGTCATTTGTAATAAGAGATACACAAAATCATCTCTATTAAGCAAAAATTTTTAAATCTCACAATATTAAATGTTAGTGATAATGGAAAGCAAACAAAATTCTTTTTTTTTTCTTTGTGATAGGCTCTCACATTGTCACCCAGGGTGGAGTGCAGTGGCATGATCATAGCTCACTGTAACTTTGAAATTCTGAGCTCAGGTAATTGTTGACCCTCAGCCTCCCACGTAGCTAGGACTATAGGTTCACATTATCATGTATGACTTTTCTTTAAATTTTGTGTAGAGATGAGGTCTCACTACATTGCCCAGGTTGGTCTTAACCTCCTGGCCTCCTAAAGTGCTGAAGTTACAGACATAAGCCAGCAGACCCAGTCTCTTTCTTAATTAAGGGATTCCAGAGCTGTGACCTGGCTTAGGTCTGAGGACTTCATAAAAAACTGAATCCCCAATATGGTGGCTGAAGCCGGCTCTCTGCCCATTAAACAGAAATTTTCTTCTACTATAGGTAAAACAGTAGGCTGCATGACTTTTTCATTCCTAGGCACACCAATTATCGTCAGAAATCTCTGTGAATTGAAACACTGATCACTACTCCTCCTTGACCCTTACTTCGGTAACTTTTTCACCATAATTTTGAAGATTGTGTGCCAACACCTGGCCTCTATCATTTCCATTCTTTGAAATCAGGATGCTTGGTCCCATTGAAGCATTCCCCTCCAGTCATCTTCAGCCTATAGAGGAAGGCCACAACAAACCTTTTTAAGTATTACGGTGCTTAATGCCTTGGTAATGACAGCTAAATAGGTTGCACATTATCGGTTCCAAAATTCCTATCTCCCAAAGCCTTCCAACTTCTTCTTCTACAAAATGGCAGGGAAATTACAGCATCTCAATCTCATAAACTTTCAAATCAAGTCCAGTTTTCAATTAACCAACCCGCCCAATTGTTACTGCCATTCCTGAAGTGCTTGAGACAAAACACTAAGATCCAAATCCTGTGCGAGTACATCTACATTGATAAAAACAATCTCATCTAATCTGATTTGTTTTTTATTTCTTAATCTAACACTGTTAAATGTCTTCTTCTACTTGCTTTCCAAACTCGTGTGATACAGTTGAAAAGAGGCAGTGCCTGCTATTTTCACTTGGCATATTAATCTGTTCTCACGCTGCTAATGAAGACATACCCGAGACTGGGTCATTTATAAAGGAAAGAGGTTTAATTGATTCATAGTTCCACATGGCTGGGGAGGCCTCATAATCATGACAGAAGACAAAGGAAGAGCAAAGAGACTTCTTACATGGTGGTGGGCAAGAGAGAGCTTGTGCAGGGAACTCCCATTTATAAAACCATCATATCTTGTGAGACGTATTCACTATCACGAGAACAGCACAGGAAAGACCCACTCCCATGATTCAATTACCTCTCGCCGGGGCCCTCCCACAACACGTGGAAATTATGGGAGCTACAATTCAAGATGAGATTTTGATGGGGACACAGCCAAACCATAACACCTGGTATGGACGTGGGCATTGCACTTCTTCATCCAAATTATACTAATCATTTGATTTTTTTGACCTCCACTTAGGCTGTAAGTTCCAGACGAAGTTGCTACTGCTTTTGCACATCATTTGACCCCACCACATAGCGTGTACTCAATATTCGCTGATAGAATTATTATTGAGAGTAATGTTGTATACCTCTAATATGTAAAACATTACTTGTGCCCAAATATTAGCAAATAATAAAAATAAAAGGTAATGACAAAAATAGCCAATATTGTCTACTTCACAAATAACAGTAAAAAGCCAGTTATAATGATAATAATTTATTGTCAACCAAACTGGCTAAAGTTAAAGAACCAGAAAATGCAGGAAAATAGTCATGTCACACTCTACCAGTGAGAGTACAACCAACACAGTAATCTTTTTGGAGGCCAGTTTGACAATATTCATTAAAATTTTATAAAACAAGTCACCACTGAGGCAACATTTCTATATTTAGAAATTTATTTTAAGGTAAATATGTAAGTGCACAAATAGCTAAGATGCCCATCATAATATCTTTTAAATACTGGGAATTAGAAATAAAATATCCATCGATAAATGTCTGATTAAATCATGCCATATAGAATACTCTACAAGAGTTACAAATGATTGTGTGTATCTCTATTTAGATGGCCAGTTGCCCATTACAGAATCTCAGTGAAAATGCAAGTTAACTAATAGTATTTAGTGTTACCTCATTTTTTTGTGTGAGTATGTGTGTGTACATAACTATGGTTATTGAAAAACATGTACCAAAATGTTAACATGGATTTTCTCTATATGATGAGACTGAGGTATTTTCATTTTCTTCTTGGTAACTTTTTGTTATAACCAAGTCTTTCAAAATAAGCATTCATTATTTTATCATACAGTTATTTCCATTATGAAGAACAAATTTTAAAAGAGTTATACTTCTGATCTGGTGACTTTTCAACTTGGTACAGTATTATTTTAAATACTATGGCTTCCAAAGCAGACAAAGAAGAATTTCTATAGAATAATTAGTACTTTTCAGAGTTGACAAGTCAAAAAAAAAATTGCATGAAGTAGCAAGCATAAAGCACATAAAATAACACAGCCAATGAGAAATGAGGTGTATACTGAGATATAAACTACTAAGAAGACAGCATCCAAATAATGTCTTGAAAATGTCAATGAAATTGATGTGTGATAAAGAAATGTAGAAAAATACTTGAAGAAAATTTATTTAAAAGTTTAATTATAATTAGAAGACATTGTTGATACTTTGAGATTAGAAATTACACTGTGTAATAAAAGTGTAATAGTCAGAAGAGTTTCTCCAATGGAAAAAAAATGAAATAAAAATAGTAAAATTGGCAAGTAAGATACATGATTGAAATTTATTATCTAACATTTTATATTAAATGAAAAGCAATTGGAAGACACTACAAGATTCTGAGTAATAAAATTAATAAATTGAATACTTTTAAAACTTATGGTTTTCCTCAAGACATACTGGGAAACTTCAACATACTGTTCAGTCATCTGGATCATCAATGTCTAGAATGTAGGAGCGAAATTATAAAAAAAAAAAAAAGAACGAAAAGTAGTTCAAAAAGAAACAAAAACAATGAGAACGCAAATCAATTCTCCTCCTGAAGTTCATAGTGGTCCTTAAAATTGTATTTTTAAGTCAAATATTCTAAAAAAAAAAAATTCCTCTTTATCTCACAGACTCTCCCATTTTATGTGTTACAATTACTGCTCAAAAAAGCAATAGTTGTCCTGGCAAAAATTTCTACTAGAAGAAGAACTGAAAGAATCCAATTATCCATTCATTTGACAGTCTGAATTTACACAGAAAACAAATGCAAATCCCCCTAGTGCCCAATTCAGGGCCTATAAATATTAAACCACTCACCAATGATCACACAGTGCATACTCCTTTGAGGAGTTATAGCAAACTGCTGTCCCAGTGTTTATAGATTTTGAATATCACATTTATATTCACAGAGAATGGAGGTAAATAAACTAAAGTCAGCTTCATTTTAAAACATTCATGGTATAAAAAACCATACGGGCTGGGCACAGTGGCTCATGTCTGTAATCCCAGCACTTTAGGAGGGGAGGCAGGCAGGTCAGGAGGCCAGGAGTTTGAGACCAGCCTGCCCAACATGGCAAAACCCCGTCTCTACTAAAAATACAAAAATTAGCCAGGCATGGTGGCACGCACTTGTAATCCCAGCTACTCAGAAGGCTGAGGCAGGAGAATTACTTGAACCCGGAAGGTGGAGGTTGCAGTAAGCCAAGATCACGCCGCTGCACTCCAGCCTGGGCAACAAAGTGAGACTCTGTCTCAAAAAAAAAAAAAAAAAAAAAGCCATACCTTTTACTGCTGCATGTAAATTCTGTTTCTTGTTGTCATCATGATTTCCGGTTCTCCATTGACTTAACACTTCCTGAAAGGACTGTGCAGAAGCTTCTTCATCGAATGACCCTTCACACAACAGACTCTTTCTTGGTTTTGTACGTTGTGCTCTTTTCATCGTTGTAATTTCTACCTAATTAAAAGGATACATAGGCATGCTTTATTAAATTTTCTGTATTTACCCACAAAAATTGTTTTAATAAAAAAATTCTGTGTTTTAAAATACAGGTAGAACTAATTATTAGTCATCACAAATCAGACTTTTTAAACTTAGAATATTTTTAAGTTGTGCTTATTTATATGCTTTACTCTGTTATTTAAAACTCTATTGGCAATTATAAATGGTCTCTTCAGAAATCATGAAGATGACAGCCTACAGAACTAATGACTTATCATTATGCTGTTCACCAGTGTTCTCTCTGTAAAGGTGCAATTGCCTTGTATCCATTCTCCCTACGCCTCCAATCTCCTACTCCCCGCAACCTTCTCATATCAAAAAAACAGGGTTTTTTTTTAATGTAAATCTGATCAGACATTCCCCTGCTCAAAACTCTCTGTTGACTGTCTATGAAACCCCAAGTTCCTACCAGGACCTACACCGCCCTACACAACCTTGTATTTCCTTGCCTTTTACTTTACCTCCTTCCATTCTCCTTTCATTCACCCTGTACCAGCTAGTCTCACATTCTTGCAGTTCTGAGAACCCATCAAGCACATTGCCTCTTCAGGGCCTTGTATTAGCTATACCCAATGCCTGGAATGAGCCTTCTCCATATCTTTACATAGCCATTCCCTCATTTTGTTGACTCAATGAAATGCTCAAATATCACCTACTCAGAGAGTTCCTCACTACCAATTCTAAAACTAATAGGCCCCCTTTCCCCCATTTAATAATTCCTTAACTGTTTTATTCTTCCTCCCATTACTTACTCCCATGTGACTTTATTCTATATGTTTATTTATTGCCTGTCCTTCCCCATTAGTATATAATGAAGTTGTGGATTTTGTCTTTTTTCTTAGTGCCAAGACCTGTGCCTGGCACAAAGTAGGTGTTCATTAAAAGTCAGTGGAATGAATGAAGAAGTTCATCGATGCATGTAATACAATGCATGCTCCTCAGATTAATGATGGTTGTGGAGAGATGAATTCAGTACAAAATATAAATCCAGTCCAAGCACACAAGAAAATGAAGGAAGTATTTGGAAGCTATGCAGTGAATCAGAGAGAACAGCCACATTAGGAAACCCAAGCAAAGTAAAACCCACACCAATGGCTGAATTATCAAATGTGGATTACCTACACTGGTCAAATTGCTAAATATCCATGTGTATCTTTTAAGACATGAGAGTATAAATCTCTATGTTCAGCCCGCAATTGAAAAATAAACAGGCAGCTTGTTAGAGTACAATTCAGGGTATATTGTTAAAGACGTATATAAGAAATTTTAAATACGAGCAAAAAGTATCTGAGGACCTGTCAGACACTAGACACCATGCTAACCGTTGGCCACAGAAACACAGGTTAATAAGTCCACAACAGAAAAAGGTGCAAGAAGCAGGTAAAACTCAGGGGAAATGATGTCTGAATTGGATTTTGAAAGATAAAACAAGAATTCCATAAGCAAAAAGTGCCAAAGGCAGCATTCCAGAGAAAGGAAATGATACGTATGCTAGGACATGGGAGTCAAACAGCATTGGTGGCATGGAACTATAAGCAGTTTGCATTGATGTAGCAAAAAGTAAAGAATGAGAAAATATAAAGGGTAGAAAGGAAGCAGGGGAAGAATATCAAGGGCTCTGCCTGCTGCACAGAGGAGCTTAAACCCATTGGACATGTAAAACCATTGTAAAGTCCCATATACCAGTGTGGCAAAGAGAGGGAAATTATAAAATAGTGTGTTTGGCTGCAAGGAAACCAATTAAAATGTTACAGACATTTGCCCACATTGATCAACATTACAAATGCATAATTTTTTATCTAGGAGTTTCAGGATTTTATCATACTGATATACTTACATTTGTGCAAAACCACATTATTCAAAATTATACTTTATATTTTAGCATATACTGGCAAAAGACTGAAATAGCATAAATGCTGATCAGTGGAAGATAGATTTTTAAAAGTCTTTTCACATCCAATAAATGGAGTATTTTACAGCCACTACATAGAATGAGAAGGTTGTAGGATGTACTTATGTGAATATAAAAACTACAAAGTTAAGTGAAAAAAAATGCAGAGCAAACATGTTTGTAGAGAAAACATATTAACGTTTGTGTAAAAAATACATACAAAACCAGAAGGGTTGCCTGACTCCTAGAAGAGAATGAAATGCACTTTCCATTTATAAACCTTTTTTTAAAGAAGAAATTTCAGTATCTAAAAGAGCAATAAGGATAGAATAAATGACCAAACATTCAAGAGTTTTTAGCTGGGAGCCTATATGGGACATGATAACTATTGTGGACTGAATTGCATCACCGTGCACAAATTCATATGTTGAAGCCCTAACCCCCAATGTGACTACATTTTGAGATAGGGCCTATAAGGAGGTAATTGAGGTTAAATGAGATTATGAAGTTGAGGCCTTAATCTAATAGGATTGGTATCCTGTTAAGAAGAGGGAGATAGTTGGACGTGGTGGTATGCACTTGTGGTCCCAGTTACACAGGAGGCTGTGGTGGAAGGAATGTTTGAGCATGGGAGGAGGTTGCAGTGAGCTGAGTTCACACCACTGCATTCTAGTCTGTGCAACAGAGCAAGACTCTGTCTCACATGAAGAAGAAGAAAAGAAGAAAAGGAGAAGAAGAAAGAAGAAGAAGAAGAAGGAGGAGGAGAAGCAGAAGCAGAAGTAGAAGAGGAAGAGGAGGAGGAGGAGGAGGAGGAGGAGGAGAAGAAGAAGAAGAAGAAGAAGAAGAAGAAGAAGAAGAGGCATCATATATCTCTTCTCTCTCCTCTCTTTCTTTCTCTCTCTCTCTCTCTCTCCCCCACTCCCCTTCTGTATGCATGTGCATACAGAAGAAAGGCCACATAAGAACACAGCAAGAAGGCAGCCATCTAAAAGCCAGGAAGTAAAGCCTCACCAGGAACCAATACTGCCAGCACCTTTATCTGGGACTTCTAGACTACAGAACAGTAGAAAATAAATTTCTCTTGTTTAAACCGCTCAGTTGGAGGTATTTTGTTATGGCAGCCTGAGAAGGCTAATAAAGGTAACCAACTGAATGTGCAGAGGAGGAAGTGAAAATACTACAGAAAATAACTGCCTTTGTTGGCTTGGAAAGCTAGGTAGGGCGCCTCCAACAATAACATTTATAGGTTTTGGAAAAGACAGGATAAATTTAGTTTAAAGATAGAGTCTTAGGAGTATTTGTGAGAAGGTACTTATTGGTATCCAGTAAGCAATATGTCAGTGTATGTATGTATACATGCTACACTAATGAACAAGCATTGAAAACTCAGTGGCTTAATACAAAATGATTTCAACATGCAGCAATTTCAGCAGCCCTCCAGGGAAGCTTCCTTCCAAGCAATGAATCAGAGATGTCAGACATTTTCATATTGGAGTTATGCCATTGGAATACCTGGCTTCCACATAGCTGTGGCAGGGTAGAAAAAGCTGGAGGGTTGTACATTAGCTCTTAAACGTTTCAGCTCAAAACTGTCATATATCACGTCCACTCAGAGTCCAATATGACCTTGCCCAATGCTAAAAGAAATTTGAAGACGCACATAGAAATTCAATGCTGTACATTCATTACCCTGTAAGCACATGATATCCCTGTAAGATGATGTGTTTTAATATCCCCACTTTCCAAAGGAGAAAACAGAAGAGCAAAAAAGCTAAGTAACTTGCCCAATATTACAATGCTATAAGAAAAACAGCATCACTATTTCAAACCCAGGTTTCGGCTTATAAGATGTAAGCTCTTTCGTGAACTGTACCTCTTTCCAAGGATGTGCCATTGGCTTTGATCCATTAAAAAGGCCATAAGAGAAGCATCAGGCATTGGTACCATTTGGCTCTTCTAGCCATTAAATTAAAAATAAGACTCTTGAGCCCTAACCCAGATGTAAATATTTTTAAAAATCCAAATTTGGTGGCAGACCCAGGAATGCAAGTTTTTAACAATCTCCAATTCTTATGATGCTTATTACAGTTGGAGGAGCACTGCTCTTTGGCACAGAGGAACACTAAGCCTATGAAGCGGTTATCTCTTCATTGTGTACTCTGTCGTATATAGCAGTGACTCCCAACAAGAACACTCACCAGAATCACTGAGGAGTTAAACACACACACACACACACAAACACACACACACACACGTCTGAACCCCACCCACGGAGATGCTGAACTCAATCATATGTATTTCTTTAATGTTTCTCTAGTTGATTTTAATATACACTCCTGGATGAAATCATTGAATTAATGGTTTTTAAGTTAAGACAATGAGGCAGACAATGTATACAGCATGCATAGTTACCTATGAAGACCAGAAGAAACATCTAGTGTAAAGATTAATAAATAACACAGAGGAGCCTACTCTATCACTTTCTAGTAAGGCTAGTTACTGAATCTCTCATCTTTCTCATCTGTTAAATTGGGGTAATAAAAGCACAAACCTTACATGGTTATTGAGATTATTGGATAAGGCAAGTAAAGCATTAAGCACAATGCCTAGCATAAGGTGTTCAATAAAAGTTAGTTGCTGATTTATTTTTGATAGGATTAATTAGATGAAAAGGGAGGCACGAAGAAGAAACTTTTAAAACCACAGTCTCTGCAAAATAGTTAAATGCAGGAAATTTGGAGTCAGAAGGTCTGAGCTGAAATCTAAGTTCCATTATCAATTCTACCTTTGGCAATTTATAAAAACTATTCCCTGCCACTATTCTCTCATTTGAAAAAGAGGAATAATTAAGAAAAGACAAAAGGAGATAATGTGTAAAATATTTAGGGCAGTGTCTGGTCTTCAATACATTATTATTATAATTAGGAGGCAGTGATTCTTCACAAAACATCCTTGACAGGTCTATTAGAAAGCGAAATCCACACAAATATGCTGACACTCCTGAAAAATTCAAGCACACTCCCTCTGCTGAAAATAGGTCCTACTAGCATAGAACACATTTTCTTTTATGTCTATGAGCATGGGTTTGGAACGCAACAGATTTAACTTCAACCCAGACTTGGTCAAAATATAACAAGCAGAATGACTTCAGCTAAGTTACAGTTTTTGAACTGCAGGGAAAAGGTGACTGGCATCTAAAAGAATGAGGATTATAACATAGATCAAAATTTGAAGTTCATTTCTTGCTAAAGAATCAATATGTCTATTATAAATATATAGACATGAGTTGATAAAAGCTTATCTAGCATGTTGTCAGATCAGCAGTCAATCTAAATAACTGCCAGAATTTGGTATAAATCTGGTTTTATATAACTGTGCAATTGCCTGTCACTTAAAACTCTGGGCAAGGTTTTGTATTTTTAGCTTCTCTGAATGAAGTCCTGACTAATATAAAATTGTTATATTGCATTGTGGTTTTTAAAAAAATGTTTTCCCCAAATACTCATCCAATTCCTGACATGGATGAAAATGTCCAGAAAGACATATGGTCAAAAGATCATTCACCAAAAAGAGTAGTGTTCAGTGGAATCAAAGCAGGCTTCTTGAAAATATTTTTATAGTCAAGATGTATTTGGTTAATGAAGAACAAATCCATATGAAATAAAAATGTGATGAAATTATTGGTGAAATTCTATAGCTCAAGTTAAGTACATGAATGGCACCTGCCATAGTTACATATGTCAGAAAATGTCTACTATATTTTCCTCAGTTTACCTCAGAGCTGCTCCTCTGGAGAAGTACAGATTTGGGTTTATGTTGAATTTTACTGGTTTCCTTTGTAGAATTATTCTCCTCTTTGGGTTCATCTGGATTAACATCCTTTATAAACTGATGGGCAACATCCAATACATTGAATAATATTTGAGATTTTGCCTATTAAAAAAGTAACAATATAATTAAAGCGCCTCATATGTTAACCTAAATAATTTATATACATTAACTCATATTTGTGTTATTCTATGACTCCCAGAATTAAATAAATTCAATTTAATATTTAAAAAGACAAATTGGCATTTGTATCAACAAGTATAATAGTGACAGCTGCCATCTACTGAGGGAACTAGTTTGGCCTCATACAATTCAAACCATCTTAAAAACAATATATCACTTAATCATCAAGGCAATTCTAAAACATAAATATTTTTATCTGTTTTAGGAATTAAGAAAACTAAAGCTTAGGCCGGGCGTGGTGGCTCGCTCCTGTAATCTCAGCACCTTGGGAGGCTGAGGCTGGCAGATCATTTGGAGGTCAGGAGTTCCAGGACAGCCTGGCCAACATGGTGAAACCACATCTCTACTAAAAACACAGTAATTAGCCAGGCATGGTGGTGTGTGCCTGTAGTCTCCGCTACTCGGGAGGCTGAGACAGGAGGATTGCTTGAACCCAGGAGGCGGAGGTTGCAGCAAGCTGAGATCAAGCCACTGCACTCCAGCCTTGGCGACAGAGCAACACTCCATCTCGAAAAAAGAAAAAAGAAAGAAAAGAAACTAAAGCTCGGAGAGTTTAAACAACTTGCCCTTGGTCACAGTGCTGAGTGGGTGCCAGAGTTAGGAAGTGACCTCAGGTGTGTATAAGTCTAATGACTCATAAACTTTCCACTATGCACACCCCCAAATAGATAGATGCGATATTTTGTGCACATCATAAATAAAGAACTAAATATAGCTAATCTAGTAGGAGACTGAATAAGCAGTAATGACTACTCCATGGTGATAAAACGTCTTTAGAAAGCCTTCACTATCCAAAGGGGTACATCAGGAAGCACTTCTCTCTGTAGTTCCTTAATAAACTCCAAGTCATTTCTCATTTTGTTCCTTGCTCATGAGGCTCACTTACTAGGGAGGCTTTCTCTCCTCTACCATCATCTTTACCTGGCAGGCTTTTGCTTCTCCTCTGCATTCACGCCATTACTCCAACAAGTCTAGGAACCCTTCCTTGCACACTGCACTACCCCAACTGTACACGGTATTTACCCTCTTTACCCTCTTAATATCCTGCGTAGATCTCTACCAGCCCTAACTATATTGATTTCACATTTCCTCATATCACATAAGCTCACAAAAGGAAAAAACATATATATTTTAATGATTTTATGGCTACTACAGTTTCTGGAAAAATAGCATACGGTAAAAATAAGGTGTCAGGGAAGGAAAAGAGCTACAGAATTAAAATAAGTAATTTAGAAAAGGGATTTAAAGAAAAACTTTTCACATGCTGTCAGAGTGACTGACAAAGAACTGGCAAATTTGGGGAAGGCCCCATTCTCTGAAGGGTTTTCTATCAGAAACTACCAGAGTCTGCCTAGGGACTGCAGGATTTAGGATCCTATCTGAGTTTGAATTAAACTCCAGGGGTAAGATTCAGAATCGTCAGATGCTCTGTGAGAACTTGGCATGAGGAAGACAGGAAGTAGCTCTTATTTCTTAGCAAATATCCTCCAAACAAGAAAAATTTAGCAGGGATCAGATAAAATTATTTTGTACTCTGCCATGAAAATGCTCCTATTTTTAAATTTTCATCTAGTTGCCAATTTAGATAGCTAACATTACATTGAAACTTTTTCAGTTATGACATTTGTAAATCTATTAAGATTCATTGCAGTCTGATTCTGGAATATATCAGTGAACATCAAATTAACTAGTGTTATTTCATACTGAATTAATAAAATACCTATGAAAAATGATGAACGTGACCTATGCATATATATTGCTGTCTGTATGCAAATCTGTGGAATCTGCTCCAAATTTTCCCAATGATTCTCAGAAAACCTATATAGGCCTATATAGTCCTTTTATTTTTAAAAGAAATTCAAGTCAATGGTAATGCTTCACTCTTTCAGAAACATCTGTAGTTTTACCAACATTTTTAAAACAGAATAATCCAAACTAAGCCTCATTTAAAATGTCCTAGAATAAAGGTCTGTAGATTTCAGAGGCAGTTAGTTCCATGTTTGGTTTTCATTTTATTTTTTTTAAAATATCAAAAGCTATAGGATTAATTTTATATAAAATTATCATTCAAATATATGTTTATTTAAGTAACACAAAACAAAGATTATTTCTGTCCTAAAATGAATCCTGCTATCAATGTTATAATAATTGTTATAACATTTTTAGGTAGCATATTAAGAGAATCAGAAATAGTGAAAAACCCACATTTTTTATGCTAAAAAATAAGATAAACATCATAGGTAACTGATAAAATAGAATTCCATATTTGACTATCTTAAAGTTCTGCTACTTTAGTACATAAATGAAATCAATACAATGCAAATAAATGGAAATGTTCTTTTCTAGAACATCATACTCTTAAACATTACTTTTCTCCATTGTAAGGCTGTGTATGTATACCTTACTTTTCTTAATCTTAGAACAATCATACAAAGAAAGAGAGCAGATATTATGATTCCCATTACATAGACAAGGAATTTCAAGTTCAGAAAGCTTAGGCCAAAGTCAAATGGCTACAAAATGTCGTGACTTGAAATAGAGTCAAATTATCTATTCTAGCTTAATTAACCTTTTTCCCTACTAGATTTATGTTAGTCTTTGTGATACAGAAAATGTGTTTTACCTTTGATTTCCCGAAACTGAAAATATTAAATTTTGTCTCTAACAGATTTGAACATTGTTCTTTGCTTTAAAAACTCACAAAACTTTAATTCTGTATTCAATTGCATATGCAAGGATTAAGGGGTTTAGTTTTGTTTGTTTCTTTGCTTTTAACTTATTTTTGCCTGTTTATTTTTATATTTGACCAAGTATATAGAAATAAATCATAGTCATACCATATAAAAAATTTAAGGAATGGAGGTTCCTCCTATTTTCAAGCATACTTTCTCTGCTGAAAATAGGTCCTACTAGCACAGAGTACGTTTTATTCTATATCTATGAGTATGGGTTTGGAACTCAACAGACTTAATTTCAACCCAGACTTGGTCACCACATAACAAGCTGTGTGACTTCGGCTAACTTACAGTTTTTGAACTGCAGGGAAAAGGTGAGTGGTATCTAAAAGAATGAGGATTATAACATAGATTAAAATTCGAAGTTCATTTATTGCCAAAGAATCAATATAACTATAGTTTAATTATATTAACATGAGCTGATAAAAGCTTATTTAGGCTGGGCAGGGTGGCTCATGCCTGTAATTCGAACACTTTGTGAGGCCGAGGTGGGAGGATCACTTGAGGTTAGGAGTTCAAGACCAACCTGGCTAAAATTGTGAACCCCTATCCCTACTAAAAATACAAAAAATTAGCTGAACCTGGTGTTGCATGCCTGTAGTCTCAGCTATTCGGGAGGATGAGGCAGGAGAGTCGCTTGAACTGGGGTGGCAGAGGTTGCAGTGAGCCGAGATTGTGCCACTGCACTCCATCCTGGGTGACAGAGTGAGACTCCATCTCAGAAAAAAAAAGTTTATCTAGGACATTGTCACACTCAGATCAGTAGTCAATCTAAATAACTGCCCGTATTTGGTACAAATCTGGTTTATAGCAAAATAGTACTCCCCAGAGTAACTACTGTTAACAGTTTTTATCCTATAACCTTTGTCTTTTCTTAAATGGGCATATCGTATAATCTTTGTCTTTTCTTAAAAGAGCATATCTAGATTTACAAAAGAAAACACACTGCCTTTCACTTAATAATATAACAATAATCATTTTGAGTAACAACAATGAATAAGAATATGAAGGTTATTTTTAGAAAATATTTAAAATAGATAACTATACATATTAAGTATCATAACACTGTACCATATATTAATAAAATATTTTCAAATGTTAAAACTCAACCTAAAGATAGTTTTATTTCCATTTTCTAAGTATAAAAATTTAAATGTGAAGTATTAATAGGTAACAATAGGAGCAGGAGGAGACTGAAAATGTATAAAATTACCTGTGCAACTGCTCTACATGCTAAAAATGTTTTAAAATCAAACCAAAACAGCCTTCAAGGCACATAGTAAATCATATATCTCACTCTAGGATAGAAACTAAACTAGAGCCAAAAGATGTGATTTACTGCCAGCATTTCCAGATTCCCCCACATCCTTCACTACACTGTATAATGGTAGGATTTCATCTGGTAACTGTTCTAAATTCTCACCTAAACTTTTTTTCTGCCTAGAATGATATTATCTTTCAAATTACACTCTAGAAGAATTCATCACTCTGACAATGTATCATTAATCAAAGTAAAGAGGGTTGATATTTTATAGCATTTTGGAATGGATGGCACCTTGTAGAAGTTAAAGCCCAAGAATAAAAGTTTTAGTTTAGTTAGAAAAATGATATACTTTATGGTATAGTCAGTGCTTCAAAATTCTAACTACCATCATCATCCAAAACTCTGGCTATCCAGCAATAAATATTAATAATCATGTTGACATAGCCATATCTCCTTAAGTGATCCAGAAGTTCCAGATCAAAAAAAAAAAAGTTCACACATAGTTTAGACCTGTATTACTTTGCAAGTTTGAGGGGGAAAGGAATGAGAATGTCTCCTTTCCTAGTGTTAACTTGCATTGATTTTTCAGTCACAAAATTTTAGAAGAGATTTATTGTAACCACAGCCTTGAATTAAAAACTGAAAACTCTAAACTCTGCAGAAGAGTTCTGTTATTTTATTTGAGTTTGTTAGACAAAGTGATATAGAGGTAGAGAGAGAGATACACACATATACACACAGAGAGAAAAAATTGTGTTATAGCAGAACTCAAGTAACATAAACTTATTGGTTGCAGTGATTGTTCGATATGATTGGAACTTGGAAGGCTTTATTTACAAAATCATTTCAGGATGATCAAGTTATGGACTAATGGGAATTTTAAAATTGTTATATATATTCTATAAATCTTTTTTTGGCCTGGCTTTTGAGAAAACACTTCCTTCTCATATCAAGAATATTTCAAAGTACAATCTGTTCTGATTTCTTTGATGTGAATTACCTCATATGCAGTCGGTAAATAGGGCAATGATGTCTGTATTAACTCCAGAGTGTTATTGATTCTTAAGGTTTTTTTCCCAACGTGTTA
This sequence comes from Homo sapiens, assembly GCF_000001405.40. NCBI lineage: Eukaryota > Metazoa > Chordata > Mammalia > Primates > Hominidae > Homo > Homo sapiens. The sequence goes on from NC_000003.12 coordinate 167,339,150, forward strand.
TTGTTTTGAAGCAATCAGGGGCAAGCTTTCTTACAACTAAAGCCAAAATCTTAACAACATATGAAAACCATAAGAAAAAAACCTGAAAAATATATAAAAATGCCTCCCCTTAGCTTAAGTTCTGACTGTTTTAGGGACTTCAACAACCCTGCATTTCACTAAGTTAAGCCATCTAGAAAAACTATGAGCACAAAGAAGCTGTAAAGACACCTCCTCTGACTTTAAAGCAACAGATAAATAAAGGAGGCTATATCTTGATTTAGATTTTTCATTTTGGTAAAAATAATCTCTCTTAGAAGTGAATTACTACTGGGAACTACATCACCAAGAAGTAAGAACAAGTCCTCAAGAAGTATGCATTAGTGTTTTAACTAGGATTTGTTAACTGTTTTTGTTTGGGTTTTGGTTACAAAGCACCATAGGATTTGAGTGGCCTTCTCCTAGCCCTAATCTTCCCTCAAGCCCTGTTAATTAGGTGGGCAATTTTCCAAATGAGAAATGGTTTGTTTGTTTTGTTTTTATTTTAAGTTCCAGGATACATGTGCAGAATGTACAGGTTTGTTACATAGGTGTACGTGTGCCATGGTGGTTTGCTGCACCTCTCAACCCATCATCTAGGTTTTAAGCCCTGCATGCATTAGGTATTTGTCCTAATGTTCTCCCTCTCCTTGCCTCTCACGCGTCGAAAGGCTCCGGTGTGTGTTGTTTCATTCCCTGTGTCCATGTGTTCTCATTGTTCAACTCCCACTTATGAGTGAGAGTTGATTGGTTTTCTGTTCCTGTGTTAGTTTGCTGAGAATGATGGTTTCCGGCTTCTTCCATCAAGAATCATATACCGTGTTGTGGCAGCAACACATGTATACTGAAGAATTATGCTTTAATTTATGGTAAAACAAACTCTTTTATTAGAAGTCATCAAAACATTTGCTAAAGTTTATTTATCCAAAGAAACCTGTACAGATTATTTTGCCAGGATATTTCTATTTACACATTACATGGAATACATTGCACTATGAGTATGAGGATCCTATTATCTAAAATTGATAATAACAAATTAGACTAAATCTCTCTAAGTTTGGAGCTATAAGGAAATTACTACACCAAGTAGATAAATTATTCATATTATCATAGACCTAACTACATCAAGCAGGTACTAGTTACACCAAGCAAATAAATTCCTCAAAGTATCATAGACCTATGGCAGGATGCAATAAACCCATCAAATTTCCACTTAGTAAAAATATCTTTGCAAAATAAAAGTAATTTTCATATAAAAAATACATAATTTTGAACATCTTAATCCATTAAACAAGAATGAAAAAGGTGAGCATTATCTCTCAATTTTTTTACATTATTAAAATATGTTTTATATTCTTAAAGCAAACTATTATTTTACCTTTCTTATGGGTCCTTCTTTATAGATAGTCTTAGACCAAATTTATTCCCTGAAAATAGGCTTTATCATAGTCAAGTCTGAATTCTCGCTGAAAATTAAAGGAAGCTATCCATAAATGATTGGATCAAAGTTTTCATCTACTGTTAGAATCAAAAGAAAGGGTTGGGGGGTGCAGGGGAGTAAACTTTGGGCCAACTGGAAAAGGTAGAGAAGCAAAGGGAAGAAATTTGTATATAGAAGACAACTGGAAAAGAAAAAAAAATTTGAGGAAAAGCCCCCATCTAAATACATAGAGAAACAGGAGGAAAATAAATATTTATTAGATGAAATAAAATTGCAATGGAAGAACTAACAGCAGAATCATGTTCTTAAATCCTGTTCTGCTCATCATATTTCTAAAAACAGATATGGTATTTGCAAGAGTAGTGGTACAGAAATATCAAGGGTATAAAAAACTACTTATTGCAAGCTAGATAGAAATCAAATCCTGCAAATGTGAAATTCATGTGGCTGAAATTTATTGCTTATTCCAACATCATGTAAGTATTACTTTAAGTAGTTCTTAAAAGACTGTTAGATTAACCTTTCCTCTAAAGGTCTGATTTCTATCTGGTTTTATTAATTAAAGATTTATGTATTATTATTCCTCCTTGACCCATAGAGTGGCAAAAAAAGCAAAGACCTGGACACATGCTCCTGCTTATGAATGCACCTTATTATTTAATAGATAGATTAAATAAAACTGGACTCAATATATAGTACTTTATAAAATAACATGAAATCTGGACTCAGTTTGGACTCAATATTTAGTACTTTATAAAATAACACGAAAATAATGAAATAAAACACATCAAATCCAGTTAAAATATTTTAAAATAAGACAACATATAAATGGAATAGCTGAAAAAGTAACATATTGTCAAAAAAGTTTAAAGCACCTGGTCTCAGGAAACATAACAACATTGGATTTTGGTTAAATAACTGTGCCTTTCAATTTTCATTACACTACAAAATTCTACTTAGAAAGCAATCTCAAAAGTGAGACAGAATAGCAAAAACAAAATAACATAAGAAACTCACACCTGTAATTTTGCTTTCTATTTGCAGTTTTGATGCCATATAATTATGCACTATATTAATTATCTTAGCAAGTACTTGCAATTTTTTTCAACTAATATTACAAGTATGTTGCATCCAGATGAGTTAACTGCTTTCAGCAATTGTTCATATTTGAGCTACACAAGGAAGAAATTGTATATGCAATGAAATGGATAACATTTTTAGGCATAACAGAATAAACTTACTAACAAATAGCAACAAAATTTGTCATATTTGGTTTTTAAATATAGTATTGCTGTTACATCACAATTAGATAATTCGTATCCCATAAAG